>NC_000007.14:92506779-92809809 GCF_000001405.40 Homo sapiens
AGAACATCAGTCTTATTCGTCATCACTCCCCCAACACCTAAAAGCAGACACACAGAAATATTAGTGAATAAATGAATGCTTTCCATATGTCGTATAAACCCTATATAATAGATGGTCAAAACCCACCCTATATAATAGATGGTCAAAACCCAAAGAAAGATAAATGAAAAGTTATTAAATGTTACAGAAAAATGAACACACCTTAACCACTTACCTTTCCTCCTGTGAGTAAAAGAGCTCCATTCCTAAGTCCTGCAACAAGAGACATCAGCTGCCGAGACAAAGGGCGTCCCAGGAGGCTGTGAGTGATGTGCTCCAAGGAGGATACGCCTAAGGAATTCACTCCTCTGTAAAAAATATACATAGTTACATGATAAAAGACTGAAGCAGGATAAAATTTAGCTATAAAAAAATGCTGAATTTTGCCTTCCCAGTGTAGTTAATTAATTTAATTTAATTTTTTATCTTTTTTTTTTTGAGAAAGGGGCTTGCTGTGTCATCCAGGCTGGAGCGCAGTGGTGTGAACCCAGCTCCCTGCAGCCTCAAACGCCCTGGCAAAGGTGATCCTCCTGCCTCAGCCTCCCGAGTAGCTGGGACTTCAGGAGTGTAACACCACACCCAGCTGATTGGGTTTTTTGTGTGTGCATTTGTTGTAGAGACGGGGTTTTGCCATGTTGCCCAGGCTAGTCTCCAACTCCTGGGCTCAAGTGATCCATCTGCCTCGGCCCCACAAAGTGCTGGGATTATAGACACAAGCCACCATGCTCAGACTAGTTAATAAATTTTAAAAGACTAAAATCTTAGAAATTGTCCCCTACTTGAGAGAAAGTATACTGATTAATGTCGAATCTGACTTCAAGCTTTTTTTTTTTTTTTTTTTTGAGACGGAGTCTTGCTCTGTCACCCAGGCTGGAGTGCAGTGGCATGATCTCGGCTCACTGCAACCTCTGCCTCCCAAGTTCGAGCAATTCTCCTGCCTTAGCCTCCCGAGTAGCTGGGATTACAGGTGCCCACCACCACACCTGGCTAATTTCTGTATTTTTAGTAGAGACAAGGTTTCACCATGTTGCTCAGGCTCGTCTCAAACTCCTGACCTCAAGTGATCCACCCGCCTTGGCCTCCCAAAGTGCTGGAATTACAGGTGTGAGCCACCGCGCCCAGCCTCCAAGCTTTTAAAATTAGTTTTATTACTTTTAAAATATGCAGTTACTAAAAGTTTTGCCCTAATAGAACTCCTTAAGGAATCTTAACACATAAAAAAACACCTCTAGCCCCCAAATGATTTAGTTTAGTAATCAACATAATCATAAATGGGTGCTTTTGAAGTACTGAGGATAACTAAAAACTTATTTTCTCTTAAACATTACCTATGAAATCCAGTATCAATCTGTAGATTATATTTTACAAACATGAACTTTAAACTACTTCTTGACTGTGACTGCCTGCCACTTTACATGATCACATGAGAGTCTGAAGAGATTTTACTTTATGCTGGGCACAGTGGTTCACGCCTGTAATCCCAGCACTTTGGGAGGCTGAGGCAGGCGGATCACTTGAGACCAGCCTGGCCAACATGGTGAAACCCCATCTCTACTAAAAATACAAAAAATTAGGCAGGTGTGGTGGTGCATGCTTGTAATCCCAGCTACTTAGGAGGCTGATGCGGAAGGATTGCTTGAACCCAGGAGGCGGAGGTTGCAATGAGCTGAGATTGCAACACTGCACTCCAGCCTGAGTGACAAAGTGAGAGTCCATCTCAAAAAAAAAAAAAGAGATTTTATTTTATATTAATAAACACTGTGCTATAAACATTTTGACTTTATCGTTTAATCCTTTTACTAAAACATTTACAGATTATACCATTCTAAGAAATCAAATCCCTACTACTACATCTACCAAAGCTTCTGTGGAGACTTCTAAGAGGTAGTGTTTATAAGAGATTCTCATATTATATAAGAAATATGGAAATTAAGAGGAGTTTAAAAAATATTTTTTATATTTTATCTAGCCCTACTTAATCAAAAGAGGAATTTTTTAAATATTTGTTTTAAAAGTTGAGAAAAACACAAATAATCCAAATTATTACAGTAATACAAGACAGTGAAGGAATAACTTAATTTGAAATATTTTTAAACATTCAACTAATGTTTTTGGCTTTAACTTTTAAAATGTATTTATTTGTTCTAAGAATTATTGTTTTATTCAAGCATATATGATCCACGTGATATCTAGTTGCTTTCTTCTCATCGATCAATTCTCAAAGTAAAATTTCTAATAAGCTTCAGACTTCTTGTTATCGAAGAAGACAAGGTTATCCCCTACCACCAGGGATGGATAAAAACATAAAAATAAAGAGAAAAAAAAAAAGACGACAAGGCAAATTATAAGCTAGGCGTGAAGATAGAGACAATCCTTGAAAAAATATCTACTGATGCATTATTAAGATCACTTATTGACATTAACATCTACTTTAATATTTACATTGAAAACTCTGCCAGATATAGTGTTAAAAACATGTCTAACATGCTAGTTTGGCCATAACTTCTTACCCCAAAGAGCTCAGCTTTAAAAAAGGAAGAATAAAGTCAATTTCCTCACTGTTTTCTTCTTTTACCATAGGATCTAGAAGGACCTACAGTTGCAAGGAAAAATCAGTTTTACATTTCAAAGTATGTCTTTTGCATGTTTTTCTCGGGTCCCAGAAAACTAAATTGCTGATTCTGTTATACCAGAGAGAATAAATTATGCATGCAAGATCATTATTTAAACACCCTTGACAATAACAATGTACCCATCCAGGGAATATAAATATTTATGGTCAACAAGCAGAAAGAATGTTATTGCCTTAATACATTTTACAGGTATATTTTTATCTATAATTTTGATTTGTGTCACAATTATCCTTTTCACAATTCTTACATTTGTATCTTCTCCAAATGGTATTCCTTCAATAACATTTCAAAAATAAAGAAACAATGTCTAGTTCCAAAACAATGAAATTCTAAATGACTAGAGTATCTTCAATTTTATGACAAGAATGAATGTCCTAATCAAAAAATAATATTGTAAAAAGACCACTCTTGGCTGGGTGTGGTGGTTTACACTTAGAATCCCAGCACTTTGGGAGGCTGAGGAGGGCAGATCACTTGAGGTCAGGAGTTCAAGAGCAGCCTGGCCAACATGGTGAAATCTCGTCTCTACTAAAACTACAAAAAATAGCAGGGCATGGTGGCATGCGCCTGTAATCCTAGCTACTAGGGAAGCTGAGGCAGGAGAATCACTTGAACCCAGGAGGTGGAGGTTGCAGTGAGCCGAGAGTGTGCCACTGCACTCCAGCCTGGGTGACAGAGTGAGACTCCATCTCAAAAAAAAAAAAAAGATGACTCTTAAAATACTTCTAGAATAGCTGGGCGCAGTGGCTCACACTTGTAATCCCACAACTTTGGGTGGGCAAGGCAGAACAACTGCTTGAACCCAGGAGTTCAAGACAATTCTGGGCAACATGGTGAAACCCTATCTCTACAAAACATACAAAAATTAGCCAGGCATCATGGCATTCGCCTGTGGTCCCAGCTACTTGGGAGGCTGAGGTGGGAGAATCACCTGAGCCTGGGAGGTCGAGGCTGCAGTGAGCCATGATCATGCCACTGCACTCCAGCCTGGGCGACAAAGTGAGACACCGTCTTTTAAAAAAAAAAAATAATAATATAATAATAAAAAAACTTATGGAAGCAAAGAAAAGTGATCTGATAATATTTCTGAAGAGTTGCGAATTTAAGAACTGTCAAAATAAGATGGGTTGTGCAGTAAAATTGCATGTAAAAATAGGAATTTAAAAAATCAAACCCTTAAAACTACGTTTTCATTTGTTTCAATCCTAGAAGAATTTTAAATCATGATCCATTTACCAGTTAACATGATCAACTCTATTCTTGGAACTTAATTGTGCTAAGGCATTCATTTTTAAATTTAGGTTAAGTCAATAATTTGTACAGATAATTTAAAGAGATTACAGAATAAAATATTTTAAATCAAGTTATTCCTTACTCTTAGCAGGTTTTTAATACACTTCACAATGCAAGGTGTTACAAGGAACTTCATACTTTATTATCAATCATATGTAACAAATAGTATTTTATTAAATATTCAATAACATGCTATTACTTGTATTGTAGTCTTCTGCAGCAAATTGGGACTCAACAGAAAAATATTTTTATCTTTTTCTTTTTCCCAAGAATGAACTATACTCAGAGAAAATTCCTTCAGTCCTATTAAAAAGAAAGTAATAAATGCAGAGTTAGTACTGAAACAGAGATGAAATAATTTAAGATTTTAAATGTCAAATTTATTTAAGTTAAAGACTTTTTTTTTTTTCCCCCCAACAGGGTCTCACTCTGCTGCCCAGGCTGGAGTGCAGTGGCAGGAACACAGACCTCCTGGGCTCAAGTGATCCTTCTGCCTCAGCCTCCCAAGTAGCTGGGACTACAGGCATACACCACTATGTCAGGCTAATTTTTGTATTTTTTTGTATAGATAGGGTTGCGCCATGTTGGCAGGCTGCTCTCGAACTCCTGGCCTCAAGTGATCCGCCTGCCTCGGCCTCCCAAAGTGCTGGGATTACAGGCATGAGCCACTGCACCCGGCCAAAGATATTTTTCAATACATAAAAACTACTGTTTAATTATCATAATTATATTTCACTATTCACATACTGTTCACAGGTATGACAGGTTGCAAGAACAATTAAAAATGTACAACTATTTAAATAGAAAAAAAAGTCAAAATAACAAATGTACTCACCATCTTTAGTTTCCAGCTTAATAAATTCTTCCTCTGATATTACCAAAGGAAGCATGGTGGTAGTAGACTGCTGTAGCCATGAATAAAATACAGTTTTTATGTCTTCTTCACTTATGTCTTTAGGCTGCCAGAAAAAGGAATAGTAATGAATTATCCTCATATCTGAACTTAACTTTAACACCCTTATTTTAACATCTGATCTTCCTAATAAAGTGTAAGCCTGACCAAACAAATCCAATGAAGGATGTTCATGTTCTATAGGCACAGGTCTGGGATTTGACATTACAGTTAGCACAATGAGTGCAGTGTAGCCTGAAGAAACATCTGTTAGGCGGAAAAGTTTTAAATGCTCCTTTTCTCTATGCCCAGTGATACATCTACCATAATGTGGCTCACTCAATAACCATTCCAACCCCATTCTCCCTTTCCTCCCTCTACGATAAAGACAGGAAAACAAATTCCTTTTTCTTTGAGACAGAATCTCGCTGTATCGCCCAGGCTGGAGTGCAGTGGCGCAGTCTCCACTCACTGCAACCTCTGCCTCCCGGGTTCAAGCGATTCGCTTGCCTCAGGCTCCCAAGTAGCTGGGATTATAGACATTGCAGCTAATTTTTGTATTTTTGGTAGACATGGGGTTTCACCATGTTGGCCAGGCTGGTCTCAAACTCCTGGCCTCAGGTGATCCGCCTGCCTTGGCCTTCCAAAGTGCTGGGATTACTGGCATGAGCCACCACGTCTGGCCTAATAATCTATTTAAAAAAATTTTTTTTGAGATATTGCCTAGGCTGGAGTGCAGTGGCACAATCATAGCTCACTGCAGTGTGGAACTCCTGGGCTCAAGAGATCCTCCCACTTCAGTCAGCCTCCTGAGTAGCTAGGACTACAGGCATGTGCCACCACATGTGTCTAATTTTTATTTTTACTTTTTTTGAAATAGAGTCTCGCTCTGTTACCCAGGCTGGAGTGCAGTGGTGAGATCTAGGCTCACTGCAACTTCCACCTCCTCAGTTCAAGTGGTTCTCCTGCCTCAGCCTCCTGAGTAGCTGAGATTACAGGATTAGCACCACGCCCCGATAATTTTGGTATTTTTAGTAGAGATGGGGTTTCACCATGTTGGCCAGGCTGGTCTCCAACTCCTGACCTCAAGTGATCCACCCATCTCAGCCTCCCGAAGTGTTGGGATAACAGGCGTGAGCTACCACGCCTGGCTTAATTTTTTTTTTAATTTTTTTGTAGAGATGGGGTCTTGCTATGTTGCCCAGGCTATTCTCAAACTCTTGGCCTCAAGCAATCCTCCCACCTCAGCTTCCCAAAGTGCTAGGATTACAGGTGTGAGCCACTGGACCCCACCTGCAAAGATCTTTAAGTTCAATATCTCATTTCCTGACTCTACCAGTATCCAAAGAATTAACTGAGTAAAAAGTAAAACAGTCTAGCACTCTTTTAGGCTACAATATTAATACTGAAACAACATGGGACAATTTTTTTTAATTACAACCACGTGGCAAAATGATCAATCTCTTAAAAGCCAAAAATATTCATATTTGCATTGGCAAATATAAGTATTTGTGTTATCATTTATTAAAGATTTCTCAGCTTCTCAAAAAGTTAAACATAATTCCTAGGTATATCCCAAAGGAGCTGAAAAGAGGAACTCAAACAGATACTTGTACACCAATGTTCACTGTAGCATTATTCACAGCAGCCAAAAATGTGGAAACAACCCAAGTGTCCATCAACAGATGAATGGATAAACAAATGTGGTATATGCAGTCAATGGAATAGTATTCAGCCATGAAAAGGAATAACATTCTGATACATACAACACAGATGAGCCTTGAAAACATTATGTTAAATGAAATAAGTCAGATACATAAGACAAATGCATACTTCTACTTATATATGAAATATCTAGAATAAGTAAATTCATAGAGACACAATATACATTAGAGATTACCAGGGACTGGGGAAAGGAGTGGACGGGGAATTATTGTTTAATGGGTACCAAGTTTCTCTTTGGGGTGATGGAAAAGTTCTGGATATAGATAGTGGTGATGGTTGTACAATATTATGAATGTAATTAATGCCTTTGAATTATACACTTAAAAATGGCGAACATGGCATATTTTATGTTATATATAGTTTAACACAATAAAAAAAGATTTGTATCAAAAAGGAATACAACATTCTTATTACTTAGCTAAAGCAACTAGAAATCTTACAAAACGTGTAAAAGAATTTTGATGTAACATATATATTTGAACTCACTAAATTCTCTCTAGGTTGTAACTTTAGAGATCTTGGAATTTTAGGGGTAACTTCCACTGGAGTTATCCTGACTACGGCATGCATTTCTATATTTAGTCTCTTCCTCAGGTCATCTGGAATCTGAAATTTAAAAATAAACAAAAATATAAATATATTCAAAGCTTGGTTAAGAAATATTTCATAGCATAAATATTGATATATTAGCTTCTATGAATTTAGGTGAAATAACAGAAGCTATCATAATAACTCATAGTTGTCTCAGTCCATGCAGGCTGCTATATCAAAATATCCTAAACTGGGTGGCTAACAAACGACAGAAACTTATTTCTCACAGTTCTCTTTTATAAGAGCACGAATCCCATTCATGAAGGCTTCACCTTCATGACCTAATCACTTCCCAAAGACCACACCTCCTAATACGATCACCTTGGGAGTTGGGATTTCGACATATGAATTTGAGGAGGACAAAACATTCAAATACCAACGGTGTGACCAGATGGATGTTCAGATATTGTTATACCATGAACATTTCAATCCTCTCCCTACATTTCTTTCCTTTTCTTTACATAATCTTCAGAATTAGAGCTTTAAATGTATGTATTTGACTGTATTCACCAAACCCATCTTTTAAACTATGGCACATTTACATTCAAATTAAATGTTATTTCTAATCTTTGAGCAGCCTTTATTTGTGAAAGTTAACAACCAATGAAGAAGCTGGAATGGCCAAAACTAATCACAGACAATCTGCCTGATTGTCTGATTAAATGATTAGATCCAGACAGAAACTTAATCTAAAAAGCAGAGTAAAATTTCTCCCACCCCCTAATGAAAATGTTCTAAACTTAGATTGTGGTGATGGCTGTACAACTAGTATAAATATACTAAAAATGACTGAATTGTACACTTTAAATTTTACCTCAGCCGGGCGCAGTGGCTCACGCCTGTAATCCCAGCACTTTGGGAGGCCGAGGTGGGCGGATCACAAGGTCAGGAGTTTGAGACCAGCGTGGCCAATATGGTGAAACCTCGTCTCTACTAAAACTACAAAAATTAGCCAGGCGTGGTGGTGGGAGCCTGTATCCTAGCTACTCGGGAGGCTGAGGCAAGAGAATCGCTTGAACCTGGGAGGCAGAGCTTGCATTGAGTGGAGATCGCCACCACACTCCGGCCTGGGCGACAGAGTGAGACTCCGTCTCAAGAAAAAAAAAAAAATTATCTATATATATATATATATATATATATATATATATATATATATATATATATATATATCAATAATGATGTTAAAAATTTTTCTCAACTTCCCAAATATAAGTAAGCACTGAAAGACATAAAGACGACTTTACTCTCTATTAACTTCTAAAGAGCAGGTGCAGACATATTAATGGTAGACAAAAGCATAAATAAAAACTCTAAGGTACATATTCTGACTTAAAGAGAATTTAACAATCAAGTTTCCTGTTTGTTTGTTGTTTTTTTTTAATCACCATGCTTCACAGGGTAATAAAGGTTCAAGTTAACATGAATTTGTTAGTTGTATCACCAAGTGATCAATTTTGATCTCTCAAGCCAAGTCCATTTTAGTACCTGATTTCACCTACTGTGACTTCTCATTGTCCATGGCTCTTCAACCTTCAGTGGAGTGGGAAGGGCGGAGTCCTTATTGCTATCTTAATCACAGGACTTTACCATCAGCACTTCTCCCTGTTCTCACCATATAATTTCAAGGAAATAAAAGGATATTCCCATCTAATGACAGAACCAGCTAAATCATAAGCTCAGTGTTAGATATTTTGAATTTGAGGATGCAGTGGGATCTCCTGAACGGACAGTTTAAAGCTAACAGAAAATAATGATCTGAGGCCAGGCACAGTGGCTCACGCCTGTAATCCCAGCACCTTGGGAGACTGAGGCAGGCGGATCACTTGAGACCAGGAGTTCAAGACTAGCCTGGCCAACATGGTGAAACCTCGTCCCTACTAAAAATACAAAAATTAGCCAGGAGTGGTGGCGCACACTTGTAGTCCCAGCTACTCTGAAGGCTGAGGCAGGAGAATCATTTGAACCTGGGAGGTGGAGGTTGTAGTGAGTGGAGGTGGTGCCACTGCACTCCAGCCTGGGCAACAAAGCAAGCTTCTAACTCAAAAAAAGAAAAGAAAAGAGAAGAGAAGAGAAGAGAAGAGAAGAGAAGAGAAGAGAAGAGAAAAAAGAAAAGAAAAGAAAAGAAAAGAAAAGAAAAGAAAAGAAAAGAAAAGAAAAGAATGGTCTGGAGCTTTAGAAAATGATGTAGGCCGGCCAGGAGCAGTGGCTCATGCCTGTAATCCCAGCACTTTGGGAGGCCGAGGCAGGCAGATCACCTGAGGTCAGGAGTTCCAGACCAGGCTGGCTAACATGGTGAAACCCAGTTTCTACTAAAAATACAAAAAATTAGCCAGGCGTGGTGGTGCATGCCTGTAGTCCCAGCTACTCAGGAGGCTGAGGCAGGAGAACCACTTGAACGTGGGAGGCGGAGGTTGCAGTGAGCCAGATCATGCCACTGCACTCCAGCTTGGGCAAGAAGAGTGAAACTCCATCTTGTGGAAAAAAAAAATAGAAAAGAAAATGATGTAGGCCAAAGAGATTAATGCTTTGTCAGTTATTTGTATAAAGGTCACAGGTAAAACTGTTGGAGAAAAAAAAAAAATCTACAAAAGGAGACAACCTTCTCTTTCTATTTTATTCTCTTTCCTAACAAGTTCCTCTCTTTATCACTATGAAGTCTTACTTTACAGTGGTTCAAATTTAGGTTCCAATAAATGGACTAGTGACTTATGTCATATAAAGGTAGCATTAATATTTGTGGCCAGGATGAGGGGCTGGAGCACTAGTTGCCCTGTCTACTTCCTCTCCGTTATACACAAATTAAAGAGCAGACACCGGCAGGGTAAGCAGCTCCTGGATGCATTCCAATCCAGGTGCCACCACATGCAGCAGGAAGGTTACCTCATGCCATGGATCTCTCCCTACACTGGCCCTTTTCCCTAATATTAACAAGTTGCTTTCGGTAACTGGGGAACAAATCTGCAAGCATTAAAGATGGGAGGCTTTGTAGGGCACTCCATCCTGATGAACCCCCAAGTCAATCTGCCTGGGTTTGAATCCTAGTTGTAACACTAGCTATGCAATCTCAGGCAAGTAATTTTGACCTCTCTGGCCTGAACCTATCTAAGCTTGTACCTATTCAAGCTTACTTGGCCAGAAAACATACAATCTTTATCCAAACAAGGACTTTACTGCAAAGCGTAAATGTGTCCCCCAAGTGCCTTTAGGCACTGTGTTTCTTTTTAATTGATTTTCAATTTATATATGAAATACTATTCTAATTCATAATTTGGGGATGTTTAAGCCACATAAAATTTCTCCCAAGTTATAAAATTTATACTAACCCAGACTTTCCCAAGATGGAGAACTTCTACATTTTTGGTATATTTGATGGCATTGTTCAATTCTTCAAGTCCATTCCAGACTACTTGTAGCACACAGGCCTTCTCATCTTCTTCATTATGATCTGACCTAATTTTTTTTTGATCTAGTGGCTCTGACATCTGCTTCTCTTTTTCAGGTGATAACACATTTTGTTTTGTTTTACTTTGCTGTTGCTTTGGAGAAAGTAGCTTAACTAGCTTTCCATATGTCACAGTAAAGCTGGGCTCTACATCAAAATATTCCTGGTCCCATGGAAATACATGAATGGCACAGTGTTTATGAAAAACAGAGGTTGCTGACGCGTTATATATACTAGGAGGTTGAGATTTGCATACTCTGAAAATATTGTCTAGAGGAACAACCTTTGACTGCATATTTTTGAATGCATTGATTTCAGTTAAACCCCAAGATGTCTCTTGTTTCTTCTCAGATTGAAAGGAAAAAATGCTTCCTATCATAGTCCATAAACTTGCTACTGATGATGAGTCAACTGGAATCTCTGACTCGTTTTCATTAGATTCAGTGATTCCCACAGTATTTGACTGAAGTTGCTTGGTTTGAAGTTCTTTCATCATTCCTTTCTGGTCTCTTCCATAACTATGAAGTTTTTTATATTCAGCATCAGCTTTTGAAAATGTATTCTCTTTGGCTCGGCGTGTCTTTGGCTGAATAAGGAGTTTGGTGTCAGTTTCCAGCCTTCCATAAGAGGCAGCTGGTATTAGTGCAACTGTGTAGAAAATAAAGCTCATTAGTGCACATTCATTTCTACTTTGGACTCAATGCTATAGTGTAGAATATGACAGCAAATATTACAATAGCACCTACCAATTTGGATAAATATGTACGTTTGTTGATCAACCCAAACAGGAAAAATGGCTTTTGGAAAAACTATTCGAATTTGATCTAGAAGATGTTGTTCAAGGGAAACAGCATGCAGCTCCTAGAACCAACAGACGAAAAGATCAATTCACTTTACATTTTGTCCACTCCATATCTAGTTAAAAAAAATCTCAATTCTTTTTTTAAAAAACAAATTTTAATGTGCATATTTAATATACACGACATGGTGTTATGAGCTACATATAGATAGTATAATGGTTACTATAGTGAAGTAAATTAACATATACATCATCTCACAGTTACCCACTTTTGTGTTTTTGTGGTAAGAGTAGTTAAAATCTACTCATTTAACATGAATCCCCAATACAATTTTATTACCTATAGTTGTCAGGTTGTACATTAGATCTCTATCAATTCATTCTTTTTTTATTTGAGACAAGGTCTCACTCTGTTTTCCAGACTGGAGTACAATGGCAAGATCCTGACTCACTGCAGCCTTGACTTTACGGGCTCAAGCGATTCTCCTGCCTCAGCCTCCCAAGTGACTGGGACTAATGGCATGCACTACCATGCCTGGCTAATTTTTGTATTTTTAGTAGATACGGGGTTTCACCATGTTGCCCAGCCTGGTCTTGAACTCCTGGACTCAAGCAATCCACCTGCCTTGGCCTCCCAAAGTGCTGGGACTATAGGCATGAGCTACTGTGCCTGGCCCCAATTCATTCTTATAATTCAAAACCAACTCAGAATATATAATAAAGCTTAGAGAAAGCTAAAGACATTGATATTGTGAAGTAATTTAACCTTAAATGAGATAGTTCTTATTTGGTTTTCTTTACCAGTATCTCCCAATCATCTGCTGAGAGGGGTTCCACCTCAACTTGTTGACAAGATACCACATGGGAACATGGCTTGAGAAATACCTAGAAAAAATTAAAAATTTAAAACTACTTTAAAAAAACTTTTCTGTGTCATATATTAGAAAATAAGAAGTTATCTTCTTACCATTTTAGGTTAAGTAGATGTGTGTGTATGTTTTGGATGGGGGTGTATATGTAGTCTATGTAATCTTTCTTTTCTGTTTTGAGAGATGGGGCCTGGCTCTGTCACCCATTCTGGAGTAGAGTGGTACAATCATAGTTCACTGCAGCCTGGAAACCCTGGGCTCAAGCAATCCTCCTGCCTCAGCCTCCTGGGTAGCTGGGAAAACAGGTGCAAGCCACTGCACCTGGCTATATGTGTAGTCTTTCATGTGGCAAATATTTATTACTTATTCTTAGCCAAGACTTGATATACTCAGCATTTTAGGAAAAACTGTTTCATAACTAATTACAGAATGAAGAAAAATACATCTCAGCATGACATGTTTTTCAAAAATGAAAGTAATCATTAAAATGTAAAAATGTAAGTAAAAAATATAAGAAGAAATGACTATATCATCAAGTTATGGCTTGATCTAATATATAAATATTCTCATTATTTCTAGAAGTTTTGCAACAGACATGCTGCTTCAAGAAAAGTGAAAAATACACTGAAATAGACACTGGAGACAAATATTGAGAAGTATAATCCTTCACAGTTGAAAGTTAAGTAAAACTAATAATACCCTCCTATTATAGTTTAAATATATGTAACACTAGTATGTCTATAAGCTGGAGTCACCATCTTACTTCCTTTCCCCTTCCATAGGCATTTCCAAGGATTAAAGGAGTAAAATCCAAAGCCTCTGCATGTTAAATACTCTAGGTAACCAACCCTTCCTCTCTGCTTTTGTGGACTGGAGCAGGATTTCCCTGAGTGCCTCACCCCCAGACTCCTCAGTAGATTTCTCTTCAATATCTCCCTTACTGAAAAGGATGATTCTGAGCAAGCACAAAGCAGCTCCTGCCCACCAAGAAGCTAGAGACTCAGTTTCTTAGTGGCATTGCTGCAATAAGGGATCTAAAAAAATCAGGTAAAGTCACTTCAAAGCAAATGGGAGTTAAAAACAAGTAGGATTCTTCAGAGTACTAATTAAGACTTGAAAATCAGGAAGTTGATGTTGCCCACAGGGAAGTGCTGGGTACTCAGAGGGCAGAACTGTAACCTGCTAAGCAATCCTGGGTAAAATATTCCATCTCCTTGTATTGTAGAACAAAGCACCAAAGTTAATGATTTCTAAGGTCCGTCTGGTGCTAAAATTTTAAGATTCTAGCAACAATTTAGAGTATGCAAGGGACTAGTGTTAGGTTTACAGATTTCTCATGAGTAGCCTATTCTCATCAAAAAACATGCATAAACAAGATTAGTCTGTGCTCAAAACAAGTTAAAAAGACATGGCACTCTCGTGTATTGTCATGGGAAATTAGTAATAGAGAGCAATGTAGCCCCATCTATATAAGTTTTAAACGTATAGCACCCTTGGCTATTCTGTTTTTAAATGTTTCAGTCCACATATATATCTGATTCTGAGAAAGCACAAAGCAGCTCCTGCCCCCTAAGAAGCTAAGGACTCCTGGCCTAGCCAGTCCACTTTCTGTTCCTATCAGTGATTCTTCAGGAGATAGTGTCTTACTGGCAGGGCTGCAACAGAGGATCATGAAGACGCACACAGAGAGAGAGAGAAAGAGAGAGACATGTTAAATGCACATTGTTTGTAATACATGGAAAGGTATCTGAAATATTTTGTGGGGTAATAATTGCAGAAAATATGAATGATCTCATTCTTCCAATCCTAAAGGTCTACTGAGATCCCCATTCTGAGGATGGGACTGGGAAAAGGTAAAAACTCATTTTTTACTTTCAATGGTAAAATAGTTATAATGAATATGTATTATTACTACATCTTCTTCTTTTAAGAGATAGGGTCTTGCTATTGCCCGGGCTGGAGTGCATAATCATAGGTCACTCAAATTCCTGGTCTCAAGCATTCCTCCTACCTCAGTCTGCTGAGTAGCTGGGACTACAAGCATTTGCTACCATGCCCAGCTAATTTTTTTAATTTTTTTATAGAGATAGGGTCTTGCTATGTTGCCTAGCCAGGCTAATCTTGAACTCGTGGCCTCAAGTGGTCCTCCCACCTTGGCCTCCCAAAGCACTGGGATTACAGGCATAAGCCATTGAGCCCAGCCTCACATTATTCTTACAGTTTAGAAAATGTTTAAAGGAATAACTTGATAAACATAAGAAAACAAAAGATAGACATAGGTATTCAAGCTTTCAGGTTTATAATCTAAACATATTAAACTCATAAGGGAAAACAAAAATGGAAAAATAATAACCCTGTGTTGTAGAATTTTTTATTTTTTATTTTTTTTCAAGACATTGTTTCGCTCTTGTCACCCAGCTGAAGTGCAGCAGTGCAATCTCAGCTCACTGCAACCTCCACCTCCCAGGTTCAAGCAATTCTCCTGCCTCAGCCTCCTGAGTAGCTGGGATTACAGGCACCTGCCACCATGCCCAGCTAATTTTTGAATTTTTAGTAGAGAGGGGGGGTTTCACCACGTTGGGCAGGCTGGTCTCCAACTCCTGACCTCAAATTATCCGCCCACCTTGGCCTCCCAAAGTGCTGGGATTATAGGTGTGAGCCACCGCACCCAGCTGAATTTTTTATTTTTAATCAAGTGAGACCATGGAAGGTTATAAAATATGTCAGAAATAAAGTTTAATAATAGTAAGTAGAACCTAGTAATTCAGAAGGAAAAATAATTTCATGAAACCAAAATTAGGGGATGTGGAAAATGAGTTAAATAGTAGAATAAGAAGCAAGTAGGGAGTATGGTAAACTACAAGATAATGACCTAAAAACAGAGTATAGTCAGCTTCAATATCCTAGACTAGTTACATAATAGCATACAAATTAGGTGACATCTCACCTCCTTTAACAAAAAATCTAAACTTTTAATTTTATTTCTATTGCTATATTATGTGATATTAGAAGAAAGTTATTGCCATCACATGTGCTTACCTGTCCCCCATTTGAGAGTCCAAGTTTTTGACCAACTTGTCTGTTAATTTCAGCCACATTTTCACCTTGATCACTAAAATGCCTGCCTTCCACCCAGCTCAAGAATGCAGGCTGGTGACTCCAGACCACTTCTATAGCTTGATTCTATTCATATAAGAAATGAGAGGAAAAAAGGTTTTCGTATACATTTTTCTGGATTCACATGAAAATAAACTATTATTACAATTCACATGTCCAAAAAGAGTTCTATAGATAGTTCTCTGTTATCTACATTTGTTGTAGCATTTAAAAATCTATAATCATTTCCAACACCCAATGCTGGTGGATGCTAATGAAGCCAATACCCTTATATTCTTATGGCAGCATTATAAATTTAATCAACCCCTTCAGAATTCAAAATGGCAGCAGTCAGTCAATAAACTTAAATAGCAGTTGAGCCACATATAACTATTTGAGCATTTATTCCCAATTAACGATTCAAAGAAAAAAGAAACTATAGCAAAAGCTATCTGTGCAGTATTTTCTATGATAGTGAACACTTGAGACTGTCTTAAATGTCTATCAATAGGGAAATTATTAAATAAGATATAAATTTACTATTTTAACATATACGTTAATAAGTAGAAACACATATCATCTTTAAAAATGTAGCAATATAATTTTAGAATTATGAAACACCAACCAGATGGAGTATACAATCCATATTTATTTACTTATTTATTGGAAGAATAATAAATGCATGTGGCAAAAGCACAAAACGTACAAAAGGGTAAAATGTGAAGCCATGTCTCTGTTCTCAGAGGTAATTACTGCTGTTTCTTCTGTACCCTTCCAGAAACGTTATATTATGCAGCCTCTTAATAATTGTAAGGGCTCATATAACTATGGGAATATAGGTTTTAAAAAAGCAAAATATAACATTTATTCTCATTAAAAAAGCAATTACATTAAAACATGTAAGTTTGTGGCCAAGGACCAAAAAAGGGTTTTCTATGATTAAACAATTACAAACTCATTATAGAGACCTCGGAAAACATATAAACTTGGAAGGAAACAAATGAACTACTGATATTCTCTCCACAAACAAGACAACCATGTGAACAATTTGGTCTATTTCTTGTTAATCCTTTTCTCTATGTGCAAGTTTTTCATATAGTTGTGTTCATATAGGCACAATTTAATATCCTTTTCCACTACTTATATTGCATCATAAGCATTTTCGAACTTTTTTTTTTTTTGAGACAGGATTTTGCTCTGTTGCCCAGGCTGGAGTGCACTGGCACAATCATAGGTCACTGTAACTTGAAACTCCTGGGCTCTAGCAATCCTCTCACCTCAGTCTCCTGAGTAGCTGGGAATATAGGCATACACCACCACACCTAGCCATTTTTTTTTTCTATAGAGATGGGATCTCACTATGTTGCTTAGGCTGGTCTTAAGCTCCTGGTCTCAAGTGATCCTCCCACCTCGGCCTCCCAAACTGTCGGGATTACAGGCATGAGCCACCATGCCCAGCCACATATATCATTTTTAAAATAAAAATAATTTTATTAATATGTATCAATAATAAATTTTAAAAATCAGCCAGGTGTGGTGGCATACGCCTGTGGTCCCATCTACTCAGGAAGCCGAGGTGGGAGGATCACTTGAGTCAGGGAGGTTGAGGCTACAGTGAGCCATGATAGTGCCATTACACTCCAGTCTGGGCAACAGAGTGAGAACCCGTCACACACACAAAAAGACTTATTATATCAGGAAGCTTCAGTGTTATTAATTTATTTATATCAAAATAAATTCATTAAGTTAAAAATATTAGGCCAGGTGCAGTGGCTCACATGTGTAATCTTTATACTTTGGGAGACTGAGACAGGAGGATTGTTTGAGCCCAGAAGTTCAAAGCCAGCCTGGGCAACATGGCAAGATCTACATCTCTACAGAACAGTTTTCATAATTTAAAATATTAAATATCAAATTCATTCATTTACATGCAATTTTTTTTTTCCTGAGACAGGATCTCACTGTGTTGCCCAGGCTCGAGTACAGTGGCAAAATCACGGCTCACTGCAGCCTTAACCTCCTGGGCTCAAGTGATCTTCCCACCTCAGTCTCTCAAAGTGCTGGGATTACAGGCATGAGCCAACATGCCCAGTCTTTATGTTTCTTGCTTTTTTTTTTTTTTTTCTTGAGACGGAGACTCACTCTGTCACCCAGGCTGGAGGGCAGTGGCACAATCTCGGCTCACTGCAACCTCCACCTCCCAGATTCAAGCAATTCTCCTGCCTCAGCCTCCCAAGTAGCTGGGATTACAGGCCCCCACCAAATGCCCGGCTAATTTTTGTATTTTTAGTAGAGATGGGGTTTTACCATGTTGGCCAGGCTGGTCTCGAACTCCTGACCTCAGGTGATCTGCCTGCCTCAGCCTCCCAAAGTGCTGGGATTACAGGCGTGAGCCACCATAGCCAGCTTATGTTTCTTTAAATGAGACAAATTTCAAACAATGTTGGAGCCACTTCTGGGACAATATAACGTACTGGAAATTAACCATGTTATTACAATTTTATATTTAAGAAAGCCATCATCATGTATCACTTAGTTGTGTAATTTTTCTCACAATTTTCACAGAACAGTCCAACTGTTCTGGCTGACAAATTCTTTCAACTGAGTGTATTTTGCCTAGATTTGGAATCAAAAGTCTTAAGTTACCATATCAGCTGTAACCGTGTGAGCTATTACAAGAATGAAGGTGATCAAGCCCCAGATGCTTTCTATGGGTTTTCATCAGAGTCAGCAATACATAATCCAGATAAATTCTACTTCATATGAAGAAACTTAAGAGATGGAAATATGAAAGATGCCCTGAAATATCAAAAAAGGAAACTCTACCAGCTCACTGAAAAAAGGAAAAATGAACCTTATTGAGGAGGAAAAATACTTCTAATTATTTATTTGGTCAAAAAGTAGTAACCAGCTCCATAAAGCCACAATATGTGCTCAGTTATATTGAGCAAACTCTGCAGACCAATGTTCTAAGTTAATTTTTATGTCAAAATACTTCACTTGAACCACAGAGCCCTGGCTATTCAGGTAAAGAGAAGAAAGAGACAGCTAGAAAGGAGCGTCTTTTCCAGGAGTCAAATCAAATCAATCAATTAATTGACCTTCTTTGACCCAAACTGAGGTATCAGTATTACCAGGAAATCTGCAGGTAAAACCATACATCAGAATGCCTTAGGAATAATCAGGTCCAAAGCCTAGGGTATCTCTTGCTAACACAAGGGAAATGAAAATTGTGTGGCCATATCCGAATGGTGATTTAGGTTCGTTTGCATTCACTGTGTATATGAATCCTCTCCCCCTGCTGCAATCACATCAAGTTCTGAGTACAGAGAAGATAACTTAGTTGAAGCGGTGGTTCTCAACCAGAGGTGATTTTGTCCTTCAGTAGACATCTGACAATGTCTGAAGACCTTTTTGGTTGTCACAGATAGGGGGAGGCAGTACAGGCGTCTACTGGATAGAGGCCAAGGGTGCTGTTAAACATCTTAAAATGTACAGGAGAGCCCCCAAAACAAAAAATTATCCAGCTCAAAATGTCAACAGTGCCAAGGTTGAGAAATCCTGACTTAAAGCATCTACTGGGTAGTCAGTCCTGAAATAATGACTTGAGTAAACAAGAGAATACAATACTTGAAACACAGTACAGAGTATATCAAATGTGATGTGTCACATAACACAACAGAGAAGTATTGAAAGGGAGACAAATGTGGGCAACAGAGAATTGGAAAGCTATGTGGAGGAGGTAGGATTATTCCTTTTTAAAGACATGGAATTTGTATGGAAGGAAGAAAAATGACTGAGGGAAGAATGGCATGAGTAAGAGAACAGAAGTGGGAAGGAGATTGGTTATAGAAGAAACAGTGAGAACGGTAGGTTGGGTGATGCAGAGTGAGCTATAGACAAGAGGGCAAATTAGCTGCATGGCAATGGTACTGGCCTAGGAATGCCAGTTTCCTTACATGTAAAAGTACAGAAACGACCTAGATGCTTAAGGTCTCTATCGTCATTAAAATTCTATGATTCTAGGACAGTAGGTCTCAACTCTTTTGTGCATCCAAGTAGCCTGAATAAATTTTTTAAAATTAGAGATGCCTAAAGCCTATTCCCTAAGATTTTAGGTCTGATTTAATAGGTCTGAGGGTTGATCAGAACATCTGTATTCTTAAAAGCTTCAAGGTAAGTCTGACATAGGCCAGAAAACCATTGTTCCAACCCTTCTTCCCATTACTGCATGATCTGTATTATGCACTCAATGCTTCACCCCAAATAAAGTAATTCAAGTATTAACTCCCAACTTGTGAATCTTTCTGCTTTCATAATTATCTATGGCCTCTAACCCAAGAATTCTGGGAATCTATCCTAGACAACCAGAAATAAAATGATGTTTTCTAAACAAAGATGTGTTATTTTCAACGTCTGATTAAAATATAGTTTATCACTTCTAATGCCTAAAAATTAAGTACAATCTAAATGGTCAATCATAGTAAACAATTAAATAAATTATGGCAAATTTGTGCTAGAATACTAATTAACAACTTAAAATGATGACCTTTTAACAAAATAAAACACTCATAATAACATTAAATAAAAACACCAGGACACAAAACTGTACGTGTGTATACAGGACCTCATTTATGTTAAAAATAAAGATTAGAAACAAAACTGGAAGATTTGATCCAAACTGTCAACATTAGTCACCTCTAAGTTCTGGGATTATGGGTAACTTATTTTCTTGTTAATAATTTTCCATGCTTTCCAAATTTTCTATAAAACATAAATTCTATAAATTTATATAATTCATCGAGGAATAAATGTATAGATTTATGGAATCTATAAAGTAATAAACTTATTACATTGATAATTAGAAAGTAAAGTTGACCTATTCTGCTAATATGGGCTGAACAGAAACAGCAATTTGTTCCAGGGCTAAAGACATTTACATTTCAAAAAGATATGCATGAATTAATTCTTATAAGTACTTCCCGAAGGCTCAAAATTTAAAACAAAGATCAAGACCACTAAATTCTTAAACAGTGATGAATGTAAGGTAACAACTACATCTTAGGATCAAATTAGAGTTACTGTAAGAAAGCATTCCTACTATTAAGTGCAGATTTGAAAACATGTTGAAAAATCCCATCGAAGCTGACAGAGCACTGAACCAACTTCTACCTGGAACTTGGTGACAGTGACTGATTTGTCTCTAGCCATAAAGCCCATCAAAAACCAAAAGATTGTCTACTTAGTGGTAAAAAATAATAACGACGATGATAGGAGGATTCTGCTGAACTCATGTTTTCAGTGGACCAAAAATATCTTCCCCTAGGTATGGGGAAGTAACTCAAGTGGAAAGAAGGGATGCTTGAAATTATTGCAAACTCTATTCATTGCATAGATTAGCCACTGGTGGGTACCATGCATCCAGGATTTATGAGGATTTCAAATACGCCGTCCTTTTGCCCCCATAAGTACACTCAAACTCGTGAGACCATGTGCCTCTATTTTTAATTATGAAAATATGGACGCTGTATCTCCACCAGTGGTTAGAACTGTGAAACATCCTAACCACAACGTCCAGAAGGGCGACTGATCGCAGAGCTTCAAGTGATCTTAACTACGTTATGTGTTCCTAACACACTACAGCTGTGTTCCGCGTCAGCGACGCAGGGCAGAACCATCATTGTATTAACCTTTCCCGCTCATGGGACGCGGTGCTTAGTCCCCGGGAACCGACAGGGGCTCCGCCAACAACTCTGCGTCCCGCTCTCGCGGCCCGGACGGCAGCAGCGCAGGTTAACTGGAAATGGCTGGCAAGGAAAACACCTTTTAAAATAATAAAAACAAACCACTTCTCAGGAGCTTTTCCAGCCTGGAATAAGGAATATTTATAAAAACAGTGGTAGAATATTAGGACGTTTCTAGGTTCAGTTTCACCAAGTGAAAAGACCTGGGATAAGACGAGCCCAGGGCTGCACTGGACTTGTGGGATCCAGAGACTACCCAGAAGGGCCCTGCCGTCGAGGGACCCTGATCTCTGCGCGCTTCGGCGGCGCCCGGGTGGCAGCCGGTGTCCCGCCGCGTCCCTGAGAGGCTTCGGCCTCGTCCGACCCCAGGCTGAAGATCAGGTGGCTCGGGGCCGGCAGGTTACCTGCAGCAGATGCAGCTGGGCCACGAGACGCCGCGGCAGGTGGAGGAAGCAGTCGCGAGCGTTGGTGAAGGCCACAGTCACTGCCGCCCCGCCTCCCCCAGCACCCGCCAGGCGATCGCTGCCCCACATCGTCCCGGAGCGTCGCTCTGGGTTCGCCCACCCTAGCGCCGCAAAGGACCCGGGACCCGGCAGGCCGAGGACGTCGGAGCCGGAGGAGATCGATCGGCCCCGCCCCCTGCGGCCCCGCCCCCTCTCCCCGCTGCGCATCCTGCCGTAAGCCTGTAGTGGGTGGGACAAGAAAGCTTCTGTCACCCACCGCGCCTCTCCGCCGAGCCGCTCGGGGGCGGCACCTCGTTCATCAAATCTTCGCACGCAGGAAACGATGGCCGACGCTGTCGATTCTCCAGCCAATCCTGGCACTCCTTAACTCATCCCGCTCTCTTATTGGATAAAAGGGAGCTCAGTAGGGCGGATGTTGTCCTCCCTGCGAGGATCAAAGTAGGCAAGATGGCGTCGAGCGGCGGGGAGCTAGGGAGTTTATTTGATCACCACGTCCAGAGGGCGGTATGCGACACACGGGCCAAATATCGAGAGGGACGACGGCCTCGTGCTGTGAAGGTAAAGTGATTTTGGTTTCATTCGCTCTCCTCGGTAGCTTTATGTGAGTGCTAGCGCCATATGACCAGCCTACGGAAATAAAGGCACGACAAGGCTTCCGTCAGATCTGTCTCTCGTTAGAGCTGGCGTGAAGAACCCTCGGTCAGTTACCAAAGATTCTCACGACGCCTTTGGTCAAGTATTAGAACATCAACTCCACGAGAATAGGCCTTGGTTTTAGTCATTGGATCTTCTGTGTTTACAGTACTACTTGGCACAGGTAAGCACTCAGTGAATATTCGTTGAGTGATTGTTCCCAGTGACTTCTACCGACTCAATTTCTGGAAAAAAATGTCGACTGAAGGTAGTCTGTTATATGCCTTAGGTAGCCTCTCACATGGACTGTTATTCTTTATGCAGAAGGAATGGCAGAAATTTCATTTTGTGTTCTTTTGCTGACTGGGTTGAACAGATTATTTCTTGTTTTCAAAGTTCTCTTTAAAAAAAAATAGAGGCAGATTCGTCCTAGGCTTATTTGCGAAATACGTTTAATAACTCTGCATTTCTTTCAGGTATATACAATCAATTTGGAATCTCAGTACTTATTAATACAAGGAGTTCCTGCTGTGGGAGTCATGAAGGAATTAGTTGAGCGATTCGCTTTATATGGTGCAATTGAACAGTACAATGCTCTAGATGAATACCCAGCAGAAGACTTTACTGAAGTTTATCTTATTAAATTTATGAACTTACAAAGTGCAAGGTAATGTGCAAGTTAAGAAATGACTCATTTCCTCATTTCTTCCATTCATATTTCTGTCATTTTGGCCCCAAGTTTCCCTCATTCATAACTGAATTACCCCAAAACGTAATCTAGCATATCTTCCTCCAGCCTTTTTAAAAGTTAACTTTACTGAAACACTGTATCCATCACATCATTCCCATGCTTAACAATTTAATGTCCTGTAGCTTGGTAGAGTAGAAGTTGGGTTTGGCCAGGCACGGTGGCTCACGCCTGCAATCCCAGCACTCTGGGAGACCGAGGTGGGCGGATCACGAGGTCAGGAGTTTGAGACCAGCCTGGCCAACATGGTGAAACCCCCCTCTCTACTAAAAATACAAAATTAGCTGGGTCTAGTGGCGCAGGCCTGTAATCCCAGCTACTCGGGAGGCTGAGGCAGGAGAATCGCTTGAAACCGGGAGGCAGAGGTTGCAGTGAGCCGAGATTGCGCCATTGCACTCCAGACAGGGCAACAAGAGGGAAGCTCTGCCTCAAAAAAAAAAAAAAAAAAAAAATTTGGGTTTGAAGCCTGGGCGTGGTGACTCACGCCTGTAATCCCAGCACTTTGGGAGACCGAGGCAGGCAGATCACTTGAGGTCAGGGGTTCAAGACAAGCCTGGCCAACATGATGGAAACCCCTCCTCTACTAAAAATACAAAAATTAGCCGGGTGTGGTGGTGCGGACCTGTAGTCCCAGCTACTCAGGTGGCTGAGGCATGGGAATTGCTTGAACCTGGGAGGTGGAGATTGCAGTGAGCAGAGATCATGCCACTGCCCTCCAGCCTAGATGACAGAGCAAGGCTCTGTCTCAAAAAAAAAAAAAAATTCTGGTTTGACGCCAGGCACGTGGCTCACACCTGTAATCCCAGCACTTTGGGAGGTCGAGGTAGGTGGATCACCTGAGGTCAGGAGTTCAAGACCAGTCTGGCCAACATGGTGAAACCCTCACTCTACTAAATACAAAAATTAGCCGGCTGTGTTGGTGCAAACCTTTAATCCCAGCTCCTGGGGAGGCTGAGGCACAAGTATCACTTGAACCCAGAAAGTGGAGGTTGCAGTGAGCCAAGATCATGCCATTGCACTCCAGCCTGGGCAAGAGTGAGACTGTCTCAAAAAAAAAAAAAGAAAAAGTTGGATTTGATCCCAGCACTTTGGAAGGCCAAGGTAGGCAGATTGCTTGAGCCCAGGAGTTCGAGACCAGACTGGCCAACATGGCCAGTATTTTGTATTTTGTAAAAATACAAAAATCAAGCTGGGTGTGTTGGTGCATTCCTGTAGTTCCAGCTACTTGGGAGGCCGAGGTAGGAGAATCAGTTGAGCCCAGGAGGTGGAGGTTGCAGTGAGTCTTATGGGCCACTACACTCCATCCTGGGTGATGGAGTGAGACTCTGTCTCAAAAGAAAAAAAAAGTTGGGTTTGGAGTAAGTTTTCCATTTCCACTGCTTACTAGCTTCATGATCTTGGGCAAGTTATTTAACCTGTTTAAGTTTTTCCTCTTCCATAAAATCTGTATGGTAAAGGGACCTATCTACTTCTTGGGGTTGTATGAGGATGAAATGAGATAATCCATATAAAGGTGTATCCTGGTCAGAATACAGTAAACATTAGCTATTGTGGTTTCTACTGTTACTCCTTTCTGCAAACTGACTCAGTTTTTTCCAGCCTTCTATGTGACATAATCCTCTGCTCCAAAAAGGCTGAAGTATGCAGTGCCTTATCTATTTTTATATTGATCTCTGTTCTCCTCACTAATCTGCTCTGAGACCCATCCTTCTCTGGCTATTACAATTCATATTTTCTTTCTTGTGCTATCAGTAGAACTCATAGTCTACCACAAAAGCACTTGATTTTACTGGGTCTTGTGTGGTTTTCTCAGGCTGCTGTTATATGTAATTTCACTTTCTTAACCAACCTGCCAGCTCCCATGGTTAGGGAAACATTTTCTAGAGCTTTTCTGTTTTCTATAGTACGTAGTCTGGTAGGCTCTGAAGTAAGACATCTGGATTTGAATCCTTGCTCCTCAAACCAGACTATGAGCATGGCTAAGTTACATAATGTCCCAGTGCTTCAGTTTCATTACAGTGTTGTTTTTAGGTGTTAATTCAAGTGAAGCGCTTATGACATTGCCTGGCATATGGTGAAATCTCAACAAGTATTTATCATTATCCCTGGATATAGAAGTAGTTAAATTTATTGTAGTACCTGGCCAGTCATAGATGTTTAGTAAGTATTTATTGACTGAATAACATTCTTCTCATTTTCTCATTGTTATATATTTAATAGTTCCTCAGTTATTGAATGTTTTATGATTATAGTATCTTTCATCTGATTTTTAAGGCATGAATCCCATCACAGAAATACATAGTGCTGAAAAAGCTTAATTGGGTATGAACCAACTCTTCAGGGCCACAGAGAAAAGCTCCATTTTATGACCACAGTTTACATACTTCAGGCCAACCAGCTGGGTCCTTAGTTGTTTAAAGACTAGGGAACAAAGAGGCTCAAAGGGAAGGAAAGGGGAGGCTCTACGAGTACATACTCGATCAATGGGATGAATACTGTCCACAAGCAGAGCATCTTAATTCCCAATCCACAGGATATATATACACGTAGCAAAAGCTGGACTTTGCTCTTTAGATCCAGATATTGCATACTAGTTAAGCTTTCATCCCAAGTAAATCTAGATTAAAAAACTATGCTATCTTGTATTTCCATTCAGGACAGCCAAGAGAAAAATGGATGAACAGAGTTTCTTCGGTGGATTGCTTCATGTGTGCTATGCTCCAGAATTTGAAACAGTTGAAGAAACTAGAAAAAAACTACAAATGCGGAAGGCATATGTAGTAAAAACTACTGAAAATAAAGGTATGGAAAGCATATTGCTAAATGCCTCCTGTGTGTCAGGCACTCTGCCAGGTGTGTCATCATGCAATTCCCAGTCTAGTGGTAGGAGAGGCAAGTAAACCATCACAGTATTCAGTAACTGTGAACCACAGGGTTCTCTGCAGCACACTACATAATCTGGGTTGAGAAGGGAGAAATATTGGTTCATAGAAGACTTCCTATAGTATGTGAGAAGTGGCTGAATTTTAAAGGATAAGTAGACGTTAACTAAATGGGAGAGGAAAAGATGGAAAGGCAAGCCAGGCAAGATGTTTAAATGTTTAGAGGAATAAATGAGCATCATGCATTTAAGGAACTTTAATTAATACAGTATAACCAAAGCCCAAAGGTTTCAGTGAGAGATAAGTTTAGAAAAGTGGGTAAGAAGTGAATCATGGAGGGCCTTGTGTCCCATGCTAAGGAATTAAGGCTTTGACCAGAATGCAGTGAGAAGCAGTTATGATTTGCAGTTGTCAAATCATATAGTTGTCACTGCTAATCATGGAGAAGTTCTACTTTTGACCAGCAATTGGCTAAATGCCCCCACATGCCTGTTCTACCACATAGTGATGGAGAGAAATAAAGTGGGAAAACTCTTGGAAAACTTACTCAGAAATCTGGTAAGAGAGCTGTTGAGAATCCCCAGTCATCTGCAGACATTGAACTCTAACTTGTAAGATAAGTAAATAAATAGCACCAGGAAAACTTGTATGTTTGTGTGGCAAAGGAAATTATAAAATATTAATGTGGAGAAAGACCTTTGACATTATCTGACCTGGGTCCTAATTTTTCTGGGTGAGGAAACTAAGTCTCAGAAAGTTTGTGACCTGCCTATATTATTAGAGATGAATTAAAGACAAAATAAGGGTTAAAACCCAAGCTTTGGACTCTGTCCAGAGTTTACTTTTTAACTGCTTTAATCATCTCAGTGTTGGTGACAGCCTAGGATTATCTTCATTATTTGCTCCCCTTCCTCTTAAGACCTTTTTGCTGTGCTGCTGACCTCAGAATTAAACTATGACTTGTTTGGCCTTGGACACTTTAGTTAAGCTCTCTTTCATCTGCAGCATTCTAGCCTCTACAAGATGCATTTGTATACGTGGTCTTACTTTTCAAAAACTCTTATTATGGAAATTTCAAAACACACAGGCAGAGAGACTAAGTTAACATAACTCCCATGTATTAATATTAACATTAACAATCATCAACACATAGCCAATTTCATCTTTACCACATCTTCCATACTCCATTCCTGTTGTAATCTGCTTTTGGGAGAGTAAACCAGGGAAGAGGCCCTTGCCAGCCCTAGAAGTGCGACAAGCATATTGCTTTCTTTAGTGACTAACAAACACAAGCCAAGGAGCATGATACATCCAGATAGTGGAATACTCTGAAATTGTAAAAAAAAAAAAAAAAAAAAAACCTTTCTATATAATGATGAAAAACCTCTGTAAGATCTACAGTGAAATGGAAAATGCAGAGGTGCAGAGAAATGCGTATTACAGGTTATCTTAAAGTGGGGAGAAAATGGGAGGAAGGAGGTGGCAAAGTGAGACATATTGAACAGATAAATAAAAAACAATAGTGATTACTTATGGGGATGAAACCAGACCCATGGAGAGCAAGGAAAGGGTGACACTTGATGCTATATATCTTTTTATCCGTTTTAGGTTTTAAACCATGTGAATATATACCCTTCTCAAGAAATGATTTTTTTGGAGTAGAATTTGTTAACATTTTTAAGTGATTTTTTTAAATTATATGATTCTGAATGATGAAAACAATAAACCACTTCTGTTTCCCTTTCCCTCAACTTTTAAATTGTAATATAAAGACCATTACGTGACAAAGAAGAAATTGGTTACAGAGCATAAAGACACAGAGGATTTTAGACAAGACTTCCACTCAGAGATGTCTGGATTTTGTAAAGCTGCTTTGAACACTTCTGCAGGGAACTCAAATCCTTATCTTCCGTATTCCTGTGAATTGCCTTTATGTTATTTCTCCTCAAAATGTATGTGTTCATCCGGGGGACCTGTAGACAGAGCACCAGACTCCTCTAAGGATGGTAGAAACCATCATAAAACAATGGGGCATTATAACCACAATGACTCTTTGCGGAAAACACAGATAAACTCTTTGAAAAACTCAGTGGCCTGCCCTGGTGCACAAAAGGCTATTACGTCTTCAGAGGCAGTTGACAGATTTATGCCTAGGACAACACAACTGCAGGAGCGCAAAAGAAGAAGAGAAGATGATCGTAAACTTGGAACTTTTCTTCAAACAAACCCAACTGGTAATGAGATTATGATTGGACCTCTGTTACCAGACATCTCTAAAGTGGATATGCACGATGACTCATTGAATACAACGGCGAATTTAATTCGGCATAAACTTAAAGAGGTAAGGTTATTTTTAAAAAACTATTCTAAGACACGATTTGGTTATAGGATTAAATGGAGAATTATTTGTGGGAACAATAGTACTGTAATTTTTTTTCACTTTTTAGTGTTTTGATGTGTTTTTCTACAGTTCTCTGTTGAAATAACTGAATTTGGCTAACATTTTATTTGCTTTAAACTGTTAATACTTGCTTTAAACAATGAACAGACATTTTATATCACTGTAGATACAAAATATTAAAGCAGTGGTTTCAGCCAATTAAATCAATCTGTGAGAGTGGAGCCCAGGCCTGCCATTTTTGTTAAAAGCTCCCCAGGTAGTTCTAATATGAGCCAAAGTTGAGAAGCAAAAGTATTGTAAATTATTTCTCTCAAATTTAGAGTTATTACAGTTTATATCAAATTCAAAATGCTTAATTTGCTTTTGTGATAAAGAGCAATAGAAGGTGGTGAGATTTCTAAAAATTAGGCCTCCAGGTATGCATTTCAAATGTAGACTTCTTAAATGATCGGGATCAGATTGTGCTGCCTAGGTAGTCTGTTTTTTTTTTTAATGTCATTTACATAATCATTTTCCATTTCCTAAGCACAAATGAAGTTAACATCTGAGTTAGCTTTTGAAAGACACCTTTTTGTGGGGTAGGGACTACTGTTACAAATCATAAACTGAGGGTTATGACATTCTCTTATACTTACTCCAAGATGCAGAAACTGCTTTTCACATAGTTTTACTCATATTTTACAATGTGATTAAGGGAGGCTAAGGTAGTTTAATTTCATATATGTACATTTTTTACCTAAAAATATCTGATTAAAGGTATTATTTAATAATAATTAAAATCCGTGGGCACAGTTTTGAAGCCTTCTTTAGCTTTTCAGTTTAGGCTGGGCCCAGTGCCTCACACCAATAACTTCAGCACTTTGGGAGGCTGAGGTGAGCAGATTGCTTGAGCCCAGGAGTCTGAGACCAGCCTGACCAATGTGATGAAACCCCATCTTTACCATAAATATACAAAAATTAGCCAGGCGTGGTGGTGAACTCTTGTAGCTACTTGGGAAGCTTAGGTGGAAGGGTACTTGAGTCTGGGAGGCGGAGGTTGCAGTGAGCCAAGATCATGCCACTGCACTCCAGCCTGGGTGACAGTGTGAGACCCTGTCTCAAAAAAAAAGGTTTTCAGTTTGTGCTGCCACCCTTACTTCCTTCCTTCAGTTACAGCTGAACTGAGGCATAGACATAGATACATACCTGTCTCAACCAGAGCTGATTACATTTTCAAGATAAACGTGTGAAGTCCAAATTCTAGGTCCAGAAATAGAACAACAAAAAAAAGATATTAAATACAGTTTACTATAGTTTCTAATAATTTTCCATTTCAAATGAAGACTCTTACTTTGCTTTGACTTATTGTATACTCTTTGTACACTCTTTTTCTGATGGTGTGTTTGCTTTTCCTTTTTCTCCAGGAAATTGAGGATTATACTGCTTCCTGCTCATTTCTCCAAAGGTTTTCATCCCCCCAAATCTATCAAACGTTATCAGTGTTTCAAGAATGCAAAACCAGGATATCTATCTGAATCCGTAATATAACAAGTGTCTTTAGATCTATAAAGGAATGTTAAAGTAGAGCATATGTTCACTTTTCTTCCTCCAAATTTTTTTTCTTTTTAAATAGCTTTAGAAATTTTACTGTCATCAGTATTCAAATGGAAGACTCCACTCTGTGCCTAGGTCATAGGCTGTACCTTGAACTTAGGCGAACTCTGCCTCGAAAGTGACATCAAGGATTGAACTATTGGATGTAGTCTTACCTCTTCTAATAGCTTATTTACTCCTGTGCTATAGAAACTAAGTTTTAATGGTTCTTTTTTTTTTTTAATTAGGTAATTTCATCTGTGCCAAAGCCTCCAGAGGACAAGCCAGAAGATGTACATACAAGTCATCCATTAAAACAAAGAAGAAGAATATAGAGTGCCAGCAGCAACTTAGTATTTTCTAAAAAGAACATTTATTATTTATTTTTAGCCTGTCATTTTAATTCTTCAAGAGATTTTACTGCTGGTATTTTTTAATGCACTCCTCTTTGTAATTTCATTCAAGCCATTTGTCTAAAGTCATTTCTTTGTTTTTTGGGAGATGGAGTCTTGCTCTGTTGCCCAGGCTGGAATGCAGTGGCGTGATCTCGGCTCACTGCAACCTCCACCTCCCGGGTTCAAGCGATTCTCCTGCCTCAGCCTCCTGAGTATCTGGGATTACAGGCGTGCACCACCATGCCTGGCTAAGTTTTGTGTTTTTTTTAGTAGAGATGGGTTTTCACCATATTGGTCAGGCTGGTCTCGAACTCCTGACCTTGTGATACACCTGCCTCAGCCTCCCAAAGGGATGAGCCACCGCGCCTGGCCCATTTCTTCTTTTTTTGACCCATACTTAATGTTGCAGAAACTATTCTTGTCATAACATTATCTCTCATGTACAGTAATTATATGTAAATTAATTGAAGCAAATATGGAAACTTTACAATAGAAATAAAGATAGGCAGCCAGCGTCTGTTTCCAATTATAATACAAGTATTGAATGAACCATTGAAACACTAGAAGTCAGGATGTTTCCGAATGCCAGGGTTTCAAAATCAAGACAATTCTATGAAGTAAAAAGTAGATTAGCTATTAGAACAAAGCTGAAATTAGAACCTTATATGCTTTAAATAACTTTTAAGAATTTGCTTGACCTGTGGCAATCCAAAAATACATCAGTATTTATAAATTCTAGACTTCTGTTACTACTTCTGGCATATCCACACTTTTTTCTGTCAGTGGATTACATAATTGGAAATTTCAGTACATCTAGACTGTCTCTATTTTCTTTTTCTTTTTTTATTTTTAGTAGAGACAGGGTCTCACTGTGTTGCCCAGGCAGGTATTGAACTCCTGGGCTCAAGTGATTCACCCACCTCGGCCTCCCAAAGTACTAGGATTATGGGTGTGACCCACTGTGCCTGGCCATTTTCTTTACTGATAAAAATAACTTGAGAAGGTCCATACCGTGGTGTGTTGTTTTCATTTCTCCCTATCTTTAATGGCCTCTTGCCTAGTGGATTGAATTTGAACATACCAGTTAATAAGGTTCAATTTCAGCTATGATGTACTTGTAGCAGGACGAGCTGCAGACAAAACCCCGCAGACACCAGGTTATAGAAAGAAGAGGCTTTATTCGGCCAGGAGCGTCGGCAGACTTGTGTCTCAAGAACCGTGCTCCCTGAAGAAAAAGTTCCTGGTCCTTTTAAGGGCTTACAACTGTAAGAGGGTCTGCGTGAAAGGGTTGTGATAGACGGAGCAAGTGATCTATAGGCAACACATGGTTAGAGTTGGGGGGTTAATCTTTAACCTCAGGCCTGGTCAGTGGCGTCGGTTGGTTTTGCCACTGGCTCCATTCCTGTTGTTTTTCAGCTTTTACTCCCTCCTCCTCTTCAGAGATGGGAGACAGGAAGAGAAATGGCCTCTCTCCTCACACTGATCCAAATTAACTAGGATGGCTCCAAGTGGTAGATGGTACTAACAGCAAGCTGCAGATAAGGAGGGTAGGCCCTACTTCCATGTGAGGTAATTAGATACAGTTTTTGCTGAAATCTCAGGTAAAGGATATATTAGAGACCTAAGCATAGAATTGGAAGGAGCAAATTGCTGTCTGGTTCAGGCTTCTCAGACTATAAGTTGCTATGATCTCCACCTCAGGATCTTGTTAAAATGCAGATTCTGGTGGTGGTGGTGGCCAGGGGCTGTGGGGAGGGAAAATGAGGAGTTACGGTTTAATGGGCATAGAATTTCAGTTTTGGAAGATGAAAAGAGTTCTAGAGATCTGTTGCATGACAAACGTTACCTGACAGTTAAGGAGAGGAGCTGCTAAATGGGTCGTGTGTTTCTGAATGGGTTCCTGATAGTCCTGTGACCATGCGGAAGCCAGCACTCCTCATCCCCACCAACATAATTCATCATGAGGAGAGACAGAAAGAAACCTTTGTGGTGTCAAGCAGCAAAACAAAACAAAAAGATTCAAATTAAGTTGGTTTGGGTGGGGCCTGAGATTCTGCATTTTTCCCAAGTCCCTAGGTGCTGCCAGTGCTGCTGGTGCACAGACCATCTTTGAATAGCAAGGCTCTAGATAACTGGGCTACAGATGAACTCTGGAAGCAGCTGAAGAACGGTTGGCTGTTCCATCCTAAGCAGTTACTCTGATCTAGTCCATTATGCTATATACTGTTTTCGCTCATCTCTTTTCAGATTGGAAGCCTGCCTTTTACACATTGCTTTTTACCACACGTTTCCAGAAAGTTAAAATGCGGGGTAGAGGGAATAAACTACAGGGAGACAAATAAATTAAAGAGATGAGTTGAGGTGGATAAGGATAGCTTAATAACATGCAAGCTAATTTACAAAATTTCCATATAGGTTATTATTTTGGGCACAGTGGCTCATGCCTATAATCCCAGCACTTTGGGAGGCCAAGGTGGGAGGATCACCTGAGGTCAGGAGTTCAAGGCCAGCCTGGCCAACATGATGAAACTCCATCTCTACAAAAAATACAAAAAGCCAGGCGTGGTGGCAAATGCCTATAATCCCAGCTACTCGGGAGGCTGAGGCATGAGAATTACTTGAACCCAGGAGGCAGAGATCGCAGTGAGTTGAGATTGTACCACTGCACTCCAGTCTGGGCAACAGACGGAGACTGTGTCTCAAAAAAAAGTGTTCTTGTATACCATGTTTGAAAAGCATAGTTGATAAAGGAAGAACATGTAAGGCAATTTTATGAGCCAAATCAATTATTAGACTGATACTTGCAGCTCAGAAAACTTTTGTCAGATGCATACATGAAAAACCTTCATAAGCACAAAGTACTCTATGTCTCCAAAATTTTAAAAACATTGACAGCAATTGTATTGAAAGAGATCAAGTGTTCTAGCAGTTTGTGGTGTACTTGCTGAAACTCTATTCAGTGTTCTATCCCTTAAGCAAGCCAATATACCCTGGATTTGGTTTGGGAAATACACCATACTTACAGGAAACAGGAATTGTCTATTGCTAAAGAGGTTAAAAGCTCAATGGAAGTCTTGAATATAGTTACTGAAATAATCATGAATGTCTTCTTGGGGCCCAAATGCCAGGATGGGGCTGAACTCTCAATGATTGCCTTGACTTCAGCAGTGGGCTGCAGCCCAACAGAGGAGAGTGTCTAGCAAGTATTACTCTCTGACCCTTTAAAATTTTTCCTGAATCTATATGGGCTATTGGCACTAGTAACTATACATTTGCTTCTGGTAAACATGGTCCAAACACCTCCAACAGAAGTCTGTCTTCTCTTACTGTTTTTCAAAGTCTGCAAGCGATAGCTTGCCATCATTGTCATAATCTTAGGAAGATGTTTCTTGGTAAATACTAGTTTTAAATTTTGCATGGCAAATAGCTCTCTAGACTAAAAAAATTTTACCAAATAAAAGTTCACACTTCTGTAGACACCCTACATACATAAAAAATTATTTATTTACAGAGGCCACTTATTTTATTTGTACTATTCTAATAGGCATACCTGAGTTACCCTAGATATATAAAATATAGCCCTGTCCCTAAAACACTTATACTCTAATTGGAGAAATAAGATAAAAATTAGAGGAAGTCCATTATTATATGGCTACTTTATGATAAAATAAGTACAATAGGGCAATGATTTTCAAATTAATTTTTTTGTAGAATTTGTTCCACAAAGTATCTCTTACTTGGGAGCCCATCAGGTAAAAAGGGTAACAGTGAAGTTGCTCTGTTAAGGAGGAAGGCACTGGGAGTTATGGAAGTAACAGTTCTGAAGAAGACTTGCAGACCACTGCTGAACCTTTAAGGATGGTTGGGATAGGTAGAGAGGTGTGAGGAGGAGGTGCAGAAGAGTGGCCCACCTGAATTAAGACAGCAAATGGGTATAAATTAAGAAGACAGACCTGCCTGGAGTGAAGCATTCATGACAGGGATTATGAGAGACCAAGTATGTTGCGCAGGAGTAGCGGGTGAGAATAGCATGTGTAGAGATTATGAATGCCTTTAACTGCTTAATTGGATTGGTTTCAACAGGTCCTTGTTTTTTCACTTCTGGGCCTAATTACATCAGGATTGCTGAGAGTCTAATCTAGAGAAAAGTTTGAGTAATTGTCAGAAAAAATTTACTCCATAACATTTTCTTTCAAAGGAGAGGTCCTAGCTAGCAATTAGACAAGAGAGAAATAAAGGGGATCCAAATTGGAAAGGAAGAAATCAAATTATCCTTGTTTGTAAATGATATAATCTTACATTTGGAAAAACCTAAAGACTACCCCAAAAAAGCTATTAGAACTGACAAATTTAGTAACATTGCAGGATGCAAAATCAACATAGCATTTCAACATAGCAAAAATCAGTAGCATTTCTATATGCCAACAATCTGAAAAAGAAGAAAAGCAATCCCATTTACAATAGCCATACATAAAATTAAATACCTAGAAATTAACCTAAGAAATGAAAGAGCTCTACAATGAAAACTATAAGACACTAATGAAAGAAATTGAAGAAGACACCCCCAAAAATGGAAAGATATCCCATGTTCATGAATTGGAAGAATCAATATTGTTAAAATGTCCATACTACCCAAAGCAATCTACAGATTCAATGCAATCTCTATCAAAGTACCAATGACATTCTTCACAGAAATAGAAAAAGCAATTCTAAAATTTATATGGAACCACAAAAGACCCAGAATAACCAAAGCTATCCTGAGCAAAACGAACAAAACTGGTGGAATCATGTTACCTAACTTCAAATTACACTACAGTGCTATAGTAACCAAAACAGCATGGTACTGGCATAAAAACAGACACACAGAGCAATGGAACAGAATAGAGAACTCAGAAACAAATCCATACATCTACAGTGAACTCATTTTTGGCAAAGGTGCCAAGAACATACGTTAGGGAAAAGACAGTCTCTTCAGTAAAGGGCGATGGGAAAACTGGATATCCATATGCTGAAGAATGAAACTAGACCCTACTTCTCACCATATACAAAAATCAAGTCAAAATGGATTAAAGACATAAATGTAAAACCTCAAACTATGAAACTACTACAAGAAAACATCAGAGAAACTCTCCAGGACATTGGTCTGGGTGAAGATTTCTCACAAGCACAGGCAACCAAAGCAAAAGTGGACAAATTGGATCACGTGAAGTTTAAAAACTTCTGCACAGCAAAAGAAACAATCAACAAAGTGAAGAGAAAACCCAAAGAATGGGAGAAAATACTAATATTTGCAGACTATCCATCTGACAAGGGATTAATAACCAGAATATGTAAGGAGTTCAAACAACTCTAAAGGAAAAAATCTAATAATACGATTTAAAAATGGGCAGAAGATCTGACATTTCTCTAAAGAAAATGTAGAAATGTCAAACAGGTGTATGAAAAGGTACTCAACATCATTGATCATCAGAGAAATGGAAATCAAAACTACAATGAGATATCATCTCGCCCCATTTAAAATGGCTTATATCAGCTGGGCATGGGGGCTTACACCTGTAATCCCAGCACTTTGGGAGACCAAGGCGGGTGGATCACCTGAGGTCTGGAGTTCAAGACCAGCCTGACCAACATGGAGAAAACTGTCTCTACTAAAAATACAAAATTAGCTGGGCGTGGTGGTGCATGCCTGTAATCTCAGCTACTCGGGAGGCTGAGGCAGGAGAATCACTTGAACTCAGGAGGCAGAGGTTGCAGTGAGCCGAGATCGCACCATTGCACTCCATCCAGCCTGGGCAACAAGAGTGAAATTACGTCAAAAAAAAAAAATGCGTATATCCCAAAGTCAGGCAATAACAAATGCTGCCAGGGATGTGAAGAAAAGGGAACCCTCGTACACTGTAGGCGGGAATGTAAATTAGTACAACCACCATGGAGAACAGTTTGGAGGTTCCTCAGAACTGGATGTGGTGGCTCACATCTGTAGTTCCAGCAATTTGGGAAGCAGAGGCAGGAGGATTGCTTGAATCTAGGAGTTCAAGACCAGCCTGGACAACATAGTGAGACCCTGTCTCTAAAAAAATTAATTTTAAAAAAATTAGCTGGATATGGTGGCACATGCCTGTAGTCCCAGCTGCTCAAAAGGCTGAGGCAGGAGGGTTGCTTGAGCACAGGAGGTCAAGACTGCAGTGAGCTGTGATCATGCTACTGCACTCCAGCCTAGGTGACAGAGTGAGACCTTTTCTCAAAAAATTAAAAATAGAGCTACCATATGATCCAGTAATCCCACTGCTTGGTATATATCTAAAAGAAAAGAAATCAGGATATTGAAGAGACAGCTGTACTCCCATGCTTATTGCAGCACCACCCATAGTAGCCAAGACACTTAGGAAGCAACCTAAGTGTCTATCAACAGGTGAATGGATAAAAAAATGTGGCGGGGCGCAGTGGCTCACGCCTGTAATCCCAGCACTTTGGGAGGCCAAGGTGGGCAGATCACCTGAGGTCAGGAGTTCGAGACCAGTCTGGCTAACATGGCGAAACCCCGTCTCTACTAAAAATAAAAAACTTAGCTGGGCATCGTGACACATGCCTGTAATCCCAGCTACTCAGGAGGCTGAGGCAGGAGAATTGCTTGAACCTGGAAGGCAGAGGTTGCAGTGAGCTGAGATCATGCCATTGCACTCCAGCCTGGGCAACAAGAACGAAACTCTGTCTCAGAAAAAAAAAAAAAAAAAGTGGTACATATACACAATGGAGTACTATTCAGCCATAAAAAAGCATGAGATCCTGTCATTTGCAACAACATGGATGGAACTGTAGGTCATCATGTTAAGTTAAATAAGCCAGACACAGAAAGACAAACTTCACATGTTCTCACTTTTACGTGGGAGTTAAAATTAAAACAACTGAACTCATGGAAATAGAGAGTAAAATGGTTACCAGAGGCTGGAAAGGGTAGTAGAGGGGTGGGAGTGAGGTGGGGATCGTTAATATGTACAAAAATGGGAAGAACGAATAGGACTAGTATTTGATAGCACAACAGGGTGACTATAGTCAATAATTATTTCATTGTACATTTAAAAATAACAAAGAGACAGGTGCAGTGGCTCACGTCTGTAATCCCAACACTTTGGGAGGCCGAGATGGGCGGATCACTTGAGGTCAGAAGTTCGAGACCAGCCTGGCCACAATGGTGAAACCCCATCTCTACTAAAAATACAAAAATTAAGCCAGACACCTAATTTTTGGCACCTGTAATCCCAGCTACTAGGGAGGCTGAGGCAGGAGAATTTCTTGAACCCAGGAGGCAGAGGTTGCAGTGAGCTGAGATGGCGCCATTGCACTCTAGCCTGGGCAACAGAGTGAGACTCTTTCTCAAAAAAATCCCCCAAAAACCCAAAATTTTTTTTTTTTTTTTTTTTTTTAGTATTTATTGATCATTCTTGGGTGTTTCTCGGAGAGGGGAATTTGGCAGGGTCATCGGACAATAGTGGAGGGAAGGTCAGCAGATAAACATGTGAACAAGGGTCTCTGGTTTTCCTAGGCAGAGGACCCTGCAGCCTTCCGCAGTGTTTGTGTCCCTGGGTACTTGAGATTAGGGAGTGGTGATGACTCTTAAGGAGCATGCTGCCTTCAAGCATCTGTTTAACAAAGCACATCTTGCACCGCCCTTAATCCATTTAACCCTGAGTGGACACAGCACATGTTTCAGAGAGCAAGGGGTTGGGGGTAAGGCCATAGATTAACAGCATCCCAAGGCAGAAGAATTTTTCTTAGTACAGAACAAAATGGAGTCTCCCATGTCTACTTCTTTCTACACAGACACAGCAACAATCTGATTTCTCTTTCCTTTCCCCACACTTCCCCCACTTCCACTCGACAAAACTGCCATCGTCATCATGGCCCGTTCTCAATGAGCTGCTGGGTACACCTCCCAGACGGGGTGGCGGCCGGGCAGAGGCGCCCCCGACCTCCCGGACGGGGCGGCTGCCAGGCGGGGGCTGTCACCCACCTCCTGGAGGGGGCGGCTGCTGGGCGGAGACGCTCCTCACTTCCCAGACGGGGCAGCTGCCGGGTGGAGGGGCTCCTCACTTCTCAGACGGGGCGGCCAGGCAGAGACGCTCCTCACCTCCCAGACGGGGTGGCGGTCGGGCAGAGACACTCCTGTTCCCAGACGGGGTCGCGGCCGGGCAGGGGCGCTCCTCACATCCCAGACGGGGCGGCGGGGCAGAGGTGCTCCCCACACCTCAGACGATGGGCGGCCGGGCAGAGACCCTCCTCACTTCCTAGACGGGTTGGCGGCTGGGAAGAGGCGCTCCTCACTTCCCAGACTGGGCGGCCGGGCAGAGGGGCTCTTCACATCCCAGATGATGGGCGGCCAGGCAGAGACGCTCCTCGCTTACCAGACGGGGTGGCGGCCGGGCAGTGGCTGCAATCTGGGCACTTTGGGAGGCCAAGGCAGGCGGCTGGGAGGTGGAGGTTGTAGCGAGCCGAGATCACGCCACTGCACTCCAGCCTGGGCAACATTGAGCACTGAGTGAGCGAGACTCCATCTGCAATCTGGGCACATCGGGAGGCCGAGGCTAGCAGATCAGTCGCGGTTAGGAGCTGGAGACCAGCCCGGCCAACACGGCGAAACCCCGTCTCCACCAAAAAAATACGAAAACCAGTCAGGCGTGGCGGCGCGCGCCTGCAATCCCAGGCACTCGGCAGGCTGAGGCAGGAGAATCAGGCAGGGAGGTTGCAGTGAGCCGAGATGGCGGCATTACAGTCCAGCCTCCTCTCGGCATCAGAGGGAGACCGTGGAGAGAGAGGGAGAGGGAGAGGGAGACCATGGGGAGAGGGAGAGGGAGAGGGAGACGGGAGACGGGAGACGGGAGGCGGGAGACGGGAGACGGAGAGGGAGAGGGAGAGGGGGAGGATTAATAAGAACTAAAAGAGTATAATTGGATTGTTTGTAATACAAAGGATAAATGCTTGAGGGAATGGATACCCATTTACCATGATGTGATTATTACGCATTACATGCCTATATTAAAGTATCTCATGCACCCAATAAATATATACATCTATGTACCCACAAGAATTAAAAATTAAAAAAATATATTAATACAAAAAAAGAAGGGTGTGTGTGGTACTGGGAACATACTGTCTCTCAGGAAGGAATCTACCCTCAGCCCTAACAGGCCTAGTGAGTATATTTCCAAAAGAAGAGGATACTTTGGAGACTGCATTAGCTGGATCTGAGACTCCAAAACCTCCCACCATCTGTTTCTTTCCTGAACTCCAAAGTAATACAGGTGAACTGGGCCTGGGCTGCCTTGGATTCACAAAACCTCACTGGTATCCAGCTTACGATCAAAGAAAGAAAAGGGTAGAAATCACCATGTTCATAGTAAAAGAATTACCTTAGGCTTTGGTTTTTGTTTTCGTTTTTGTTTTGTTTTGAGAGAGTCTCGCTCCCTTGCCCAGGCTGGAGTGCAATGGCGCGATCTCAGCTCACTGCAAGCTCCATTTCCTGGGTTCAAGCAATTCTCCTGTCTCAGCCTCCCGAGTAGCTGGGATGACAGGTGTGCACCACCACGCCTGGGTAATTTTTCTATTTTGGATAGGGACGGGGTTTCACCATGTTGGCCAGGCCGATCTTGAACTCCTGACCTCAAGTGATCTGCCCATCTCGGCCTCCCAAAGTGCTGGGATGACAGGCGTGAGGCCCTGCACCCGGCCAAGAATTACCTTAGGTTTTATTGAGAGATGAATTATGCACCCCATTTTCTAGGGTGACCTTGGGTAAACCTTTCTGTATTTCAGTTTTCTCATTTGCAAAATGGAGATAATAGTTTCTACTTCATAGTGATGGCAACAGCGGCCCATCTGGAGTGGCCATTGCAAAGGTGCCAGCTGCAGCAGGGAGGCGTAGCTGGGGCTGTGTGCGCTACATAGCAGGCAGGATCCCCACCCTCCTGGGCACAGCTGCCGCTGCCCAAGCCACAGCTGCGGACCCAGGCATCTCTGCACTCTTAGGGGCCGGGAAGGCCCCCCTTCCCCCCACAGGCTTGGAGATGCCTGCTCCCACTCTCTGACCTCTCCCTTCTCCTGGCACCTACTCCACAGGCTTGGAAGCACCTGCTGCCACTTCTGGCCTCTCGCTGCTCCGGCACCCATTCCAATCTTAGAGCAAAGTTGAGGCTGAGCCAGGGCACTGTCGCGACCTGGCCAGGTGTGCGCACACTCAGGGCAGTGCTGACACACCAGCCCCCTGCTGACTTGGCCCCCTCCGGACTTTGGGCACTGACTAGCATTGGAGAGAGGCCGAGGAGGTGCTGAAGGCAGTTCAGCGCTGGCCTGCAGGCACTCCTTGTCACCAACAACCTGGGCGCCATGAACAGCGGCAGGAGGCAGACAGGCTCTGGGGTGGAAAGGGGTGTGTCCTCAGTTTTGAAGAGAGAAGGAGAGAAGAGCTGCGGCCCTTCAGAGAGCCCAGACCTAGGAGCTCCCCAAGCCAGGGATGTGACACCCTGTTTGGGAATCTGTAGTTCCTGGCTTCTCCAAGCTTCTGGGCACCACCACATTCCCTGGTGCCAACTGTGGAAGCTGTTTGTGGTATACCTGGTCCAGCTGCAGCCTCACAGGGAGGTAGCGCTTGTGCCAGCACCTGGAGCTGCCCACCCCACCACAGCCAGTGTGCCTGTCTGTGCGCAGTGGCTGGACCCCATGGTCATTCACTCACACACCCTTTGCTGCTCTGAGCCTGACTCACCCTTGGCAGGCATGGGATTCAGGCCAGTAGCACAAGCCAAGCACAACCCTGCCAGGCCGAGTGGATGGAATGAGTCCAGTAGGCCTGAGCAAAACTTGGACAAAGGTGCCACTAGCCACAGAGGTTTCTGGCTGGCAAGGTGACACCCCAAGAATCCCATGACAATGAGGTTGTTTTGAGAATAAAATGAGTTCACGGCCAGGCGCAGTGGCTCACGCCTGTAATCCCAGCACTTTGGGAGGCCGAGGCGGGAGGATCATGAGGTCAGGAGTTCGAGACCAGCCTGGACAACATGGTGAAACCTCATCTCTACTAAAAATACAAAAATTAGCCGGGTGTGGTGGCACATGTAATCCAAGCTACTCAGGAGACTGAGGCAGGAGAATCCCTTGAACTCAGGAAGCGGAGGTTGCAGTGAGCCAAGATTGCACCATTGCACTCCAGCCTGGGTGACAGAGCGAGACTCTGTCTCAAAAATATATATATATATATATATAAAAATAAAATAAAATGAGTTCACAGATTAAAGCTCCCTGAAGGGTCCTGCATTTAGAAAGCACTCTAGAGGGGTCAACTATTTTTATTATTATGTTATTGTATTATAATGAATATGTAGGTGGATTGGAGGAGTTAGGTCATAAAGACAAAATAGAGTAGCATCCAATTGTACATGCATTGCATCTGGTCTCCCCCTAAACTAATGAGGTTTTACTGAGTAAAATTTTTAAAAATAACAAAATAAACATTCATTTTGTATAGTGATTCATTTAGTTGCCCAGCTATTCTATAAATATTTGTTGAGCACCACTATCAGCCAGGCATTGTTCTAGGCAATAGTTAGGTCAGGAACAAACAAAAACCCCTGCACTCATAAAGGCTGCATTCATTATGGAAGAAAAGAAATCATTTCCTTAGCTTTATCTAACAAAAATGAATTGTAATTTTTCATTCTTACCATTTTCTACAGTGTTATATCTACCGATTCTTTAATTCCTTCATCAGTCTCTTCTTCAGATGACTGTTGGTGTAGACTGTTCTTCAACATGTCAAATATTTGCTCTCAAGAAATGTAACCATCTCCATTCAAATAATAAACTTGAAACAGACTTTTTAAAGCATAAGAAGTTTAAAGATTTGAATAACAGCAGTTAAAGTGTCATTAGTCTTCTCTTTAGTTATTTCAATTTATGATACTAAAAGACAAAAACAATTTATATTCCACGCAATGACTAGTTTATTATATGGTAGAGAGATTTTAGAATAAAGCACTCTTTATATTTTTTTCTATCAGATTAAATATTCCTTGGGATATGAAATGAAAAACATAATTTCTGGATTTTTATATTGAAGGTTTAAAAATGATATGAAGCTGCAATCAAGGAGCTTTGAGATGAAGTTTTTAAACCTTTGATCATGCAATACATATATATACATACATGTATATGCATGTGTGTATCTATATCAGTATTATGATTCTCTTCTTACATAGAGTGCAAAAACGAAGTACACCCTTCACTGTATCGCTGACAAAGAACATTTTTGGATGTATTTGGATGGTGAATCAGTAATGTCCTTGGTGTCTGCTCATCTGCACTATCCAAAATTATCGAATAACCTCTCCCTGGAGAATGCTTGCCATGACTTATAATCATGGAGCTTAAGATCATGCTTTCCATGATCTTTATAAGCACCAAAGTTCACTCACTCATCCCACAAATGATCTCACTCAGGTCATTTGTGAATAAAGGAGTCCCACAGTGAAGGAGCTTTTGTGGGGTTTATAATCAAATGTTTTAGCAAAAGTAGGAATAAAACTCCAGATTAGCAGATTAGTTGGGTCTTTCTGTTGAATTTCTTCAATCTGTAGCATACATATGAGTTTGCAATACAACCTGACTAGAAAGTAGTATTTTCTCAAAATTAACTTAAGTGTATATGAAACATTTTTAAGAAGTGAGATTAGAGAAGGAAAATTTTTTTGATAACGGGAGGCTGTTCAACCATGTACAGCTGCATTCAGTGTCAAGACCACTTTCACCAGATATTAGCATTACAAGAATTTACATTCAGAAAACAACTTTTCACTCCTAAGTGAGACTTTGGTATAAAACACTGCAGTGGAAACTATATTTATTTATTTATTTATTTGTTTATTTATGTATTATTTTTTGAGACAGAGTCTCACTGTGTCACCCAGGCTGGAGTGCAGTGGTGTGATCTCAGTTCACTGCAACCTCTGCCTCCTGGGTTCAAGCAATTCTCCTGCCTCAGCCTCCCCAGTAGCTGGGATTACAGGGAAGCTCAACCATGCCCAGCTACTTTTTGTATTTTTAGTAGAGAGGAGGTTTCACCATGTTGGCAGGCTGGTCTTGCATTGCTGACCTCAAGTGATCCACCCACCTTGGCCTCCCAAAGTGCTGGGATTACAGGAGTGAGCCACTGCACCCAGCTGGAAACTATATTTAAAAATTATCTTATCTCATGAAAAGTTAGAGTGGGAGAAAAAAAGTACAACACAGAGAAACTAAAAAATTCATAAATGTCAAAGAAAAGTCAAAGAATTACCCCTCCATAATACATGCACTGCCATGTGCAAGGCCCGTTTCCTGCCTCAGAGGCAGCCTCGGAAATGCAGTCTTACCAGCTGATCAGAGTTGGCACAAGCCCTGACCCTTAGCTGTTGTTCTTAGCATGGGCCATAAGCCAAAGACCCATCCTGGTGATGACATTTCGGCATCCCAGAACCAGTGAAGGAAATGTTTGGGGCTGGGGACTCTTCCGTGACCTTACAATTCTGCCACCCATTTCATCAGCTTTTTTTTTTTTTAAGCTGTCATGAACTATTTCTGCAAGGTTGCTATAAAGAACACTGATTTTATATTTTTAAACATGTAAGCATTCACTAAGTCCAAAATTGACTATATATTACTAAGCCAGTAATCACATACAGAAATCTTACACTTGAGCTTTTCTTCATACGTTCCTTGAAGAAACACTGATAATCCTTTAACCCACTCTTTTACTTTTATGTAGTTATCATGGTCTTTGTCAAATGCAAAAAACACTGAAAGAAAAAGAATGCGTAACTGTATTGTAATTTAGTGCTATTTTGTAATTCAACAGTATGTAAGTATGGATAGAAAAATGTTTCTCCCAAATTGAGGGGGAGAAGTTTTGGCACAGTCTTCTTGAAAGAATCAAAATTACAGGAAATGTGTTTTCCGCTGTATTCTTGAAGAAAGAAAAGAGACATTCTCCATCATGAGCAATGATGAGTTTCGTTTGTGATGTTTTATACAGTTACTATGAGCCAAGGAGACACACAGTGGAGTTAATAGGATAATGCTTATTCTAAAAAAAAAAGTGGCAAAAATTATGTTCTAAAGAGTTTGCACAATACTTAAAGGTAAATTACTAAAATAATACATTATTTTTAAAATGGGAAACTTTAGTATTAGCCTATAAAAATAAGATATTTACTCTTTTTGAGATGATGAATATGTTAATCATTTTGATTGTGGTGATGGTTTCATAGGTGTATACATGCGTCAAAACTTACCAAATTCTATCTTAAAAATCTATTACTGGCTGGGTGCGGTGGTTCACGCCTGTAATCCCAGCACTTTGGGAGGCCAAGGAGGGCGGATCACCTGAGGTCAGGAGTTCGAGACCAGCCTGGCCAACATGGTGAAACCCTGTCTCTACTAAAAATACAAAAAATTAGCTGGGCATGGTGGCAGGCGCCTGTAATCCCAGCTACTCCGGAGGCTGAGGCAGGAGAATTGTTTGAACCCGAGAGTTGGAGGTTGCCTGAGCTGAGATTGCACCACTGCACTCCAGCCTGGTCAACAGAGCGAGACTCCATCTCGGAAAAAAAAAAAAATCTGTTACTGAAATTAACTGGATCACATTAAATAATTTTTTATTTTAAAGATATGATCTTTGATTTTTTTCAATATGATGAGTCATTACCATTTTTTATACTAACTGATACATGTTCATTTTTATGAGGAAAAAGAAGCCATTTAGTAATTTACATGTCTACAGCATGTGAATCTAAAGACATCATGATTAAAAGCTACAAACTGCATATCTTTTTTTTTTCTTTTTTTTTCTTTTTTTTTGTGTGACGGAGTCTCGCTCTGTCGCCCAGGCTGGAGTGCAGTTGCGCGATCTTGGCTCACTGCAAACTCCGCCTCCCAGGTTCACGCCATTCTCGTGCCTCAGCCTCCCGAGTAGCTGGGACTACAGGCGCCCGTCACCACGTCAGGCTAATTTTTTGTATTTTTAGTAGAGATGGGATTTCATTGTGTTAGCCAGGATGGTCTCGATACCCTGACCTTGTTATCTGCCCACCTCCGTCTTCCAAAGTGCTGAGATTTCAGGTGTGAACCACCACGCCTGGCCCTATTGGTTATTTCTCAAAGCTGTACACCTATGAGGTATGAAATTCTGAGTGAGTTTGTATTGAAAACTATCCTCACGATCAAACTAATTATGTTTGCAGCACTACACTTCTGGTATTATGCCTTTCTAGTTCGGAGTTAAAAAAATTCAGGCCTGGCACGGTGGCAGATCACGACGTCAGGAGTTCGAGACCAGCCTGGCCAACATAGTGAAACCCCATCGCTACTAAAAAATACAAAAGTTAGCCAGGTGTGGGGCACGTGCCTGTAGTCCCAGCTACTCGGGAGGTGAGGCAGGAGAATTGCTTGAACCCGGGAGGCAGAGGTTGCAGTGAGCCGAGATAGCGCCACTGCCCTCCAGCCTGGGCAACAGGGTGAGACTCCATCTCAAAAAAAAAAAAAAAAAAAAAATTCAAAGTCTTTCATGAAAATGGAATATGAGTAGTCTGCTATTTCAGATCGGCTGTTTTTAGTCTCTTATGACTTCTTATCCCTATTCATCAACATGTCATCAGTCATTCCTAATACATTGTGCAGGACCCCTCGAAAAGCGTTACGATCTAGCCCAGTGTTTCCAAATCTTCCATCAGCTCTTCCCACTAAGCTGTGGAAAAGTCTTATGAGACACTCTAGCTCACTTTTTTTGGCTGTAAAATGAAAAGGCAAATAAATACAACTTAGCTTTAATCATTAAGTTATTCAATCCAGTGAAATATATCTTACTAGCAGCTATTTTGTTCCTATGATGCTAGGTATTCTGATAGAAAAATATATATATGATATGGACTAGTTACTAAAGAGCTTACACAATTAATGTGAGCCTCACTTAGAAATTTCCTAAGACAGTATGCAACTGCTAAATCATGTAAGATAACGTTCACCACTATAGACATGTGAAGAAAGAAAAATCAGTATGGGAAAAGAGTTGGGCCATTTTCATGGGAGAACTAGACTGTGAACTGAGCCTTGAAGGATGCGTAGTATCTATGTAGGAAGAAATGTGTTGAGGGTGGTAAAGAGGAGGAAAATTCTAGGAAAATAGGATGACATGAGTAAAGGAAAGAGGTAGAATTTTAGGATTGAAATAGAACGTGCCTTACTGGAAGCATAATGAGCATAGCAAGGAGTTGGGAAGAAGAGAACAGCAAGGTTCAAGAGGATAGGCTGATGGTGGAGGGCCTTCAATGCCTGGTCAGAAGATTAATATTTACTATACAGAAGCAGTGTCATTTTAGACCATCTGTATGAGAATTAACCCCTTCTCCACTGCCCCATGCTTGCAGTTTCCCAGAACTTGCCCCAAATCTGCTAAACCAGAATTGTTAACAGCAGGCCCAGGAATTAGCTTTTGAACAAGAGCTCAACTTCTATGCCCTAGGAGTTGAGAATCTTTGGGTTAAGCCACTGAACATTTCGGAACAGGAGAGGGCCATAACAGTACAAAGTGGTTTAGGAAAATCTATTGAAGTAGGAAAGCTGGAAGCATGGAAGCCAGGCTTGGAGGCGTAGGGTTTGGGATAGAAAGGTGGAAATAAAGACAGAAAGCTGGGAGGGAGCCTGAGATGCTGCAGAAACTCAGTCAGGCTTTGTGACCGATCAGATCTGCAGTGTTCAAATGGAAATTTTTAAATATGCACATACCTGGTTCTCACTCCAGACTTAGTAAAATGCTATTTTGAACAAGTGCACAAGTGTCTGATGCACTGTCAGGACTGAGAACCAACAGGTGAGACTTCGTGGGCTGGGGATACAAGACTTAATAAGCCCCTGGGTTCCACTTCCATTTCTTATCCTAAATAACTGAGAGACTTACACAAGTCATACAGCTTCTTTATGCCTCACTGCCCTCACCTATAACACTTAGGTTTTGTCCTGGATGATCTCTAAGATTCCTTCAGTCTCTAAAAGCATAAAGTGGCACCGGGCACGCTGGCTCACGCCTGTAATCCCAGCACTTTGGGAGACTGAGGCGGGCAGATCACCTGAGGTCAAGAGTTTGAGACCAGCCTGACCAACATGGAGAAACCCCATCTCTACTAAAAATACAAAATTAGCTGGGTGTGGTGGCACATGCCTGTAATCCCAGCTACTCGGGAGGGTGAGGCAGAAGAATCGCTTGAACCTGGAAGGCGGAGGTTGCGGCGAGCCAAGATCGTATTATTGCACTCCAGCCCGGGCAACAAGAGTGAAACTCTGTCTCAAAAAAAAAAAAAAAAAAAGGATTACACTATATGATTTTTTTTTTTTTTTTTTTTTTTTTTTTTTTTTTTTTTTTTTTTTTTAGCACAGGATCTTTCTCTGTCACCCAGGCTGGAGTGCAGTAATGTGAATGATAGTTCACTGCAGCCCTGAACTCCCGGGCTCAAGAGATCCTCCTGCCTCAGCCTCTTGAGTAGCTGGGACTACAGGTGCACACCACCATGTCTGGCTAATTTTAATTTTAAAAAGTTTATTTCAATAGTTTTTGGGGTACATGTGGTTTTTGGCTACATGAATAAGTTCTTCAGTGGTGATTTCTGATATTTTGGTGCATTCATCACCTGAGCAGGGTACATGGTGCCCAGTATGTAGTCTTTTATCCCTCACCCTCCTCCCACCCTTCCCACAGAGTCCCTAAAGTCCATTGTATCATTCTTATGTCTTTGCATCCTCATAGCTTAGCTCCCACTTATGAGAACATGTGATATTTGGTTTTCCATTCCTGAGTTGCTTCATTTAGAATAATGGCCTCCAGCTCCACCCAAGTTGCTCCATCTAAAGGCCATTAACTTTCAAATTTTTAGTAGAGATGAAGTCTCACTATGTTGGCCAGGCTGGTCTACAACTCCTGGGCTCATGCAGTCCTCCTGCCTTGGCCTCTGAAAGTGCTGGGATTACAGGTGTGAGCCACTGTGCCCAGCCTGGCAGTAGATTCTTTTTTTTTTTTTTCCTTTGAGATGGAGTCTTGTTCTGTTACCCAGGCTGGAGGGCAGTGGCATGATCTCAGCTCACTGCAACCTCTGCCTCCTGGGTTCAAGTGATTCTACTACCTCAGCCTCCCGAGTAGCTGGGATTACAGGTGCCCACCACCATGCCTGGCTAATTTTTATATTTTTAGTAGAGATAGGACTTCACCATGTTGGCCAGGCTGGTCTCGAACTCCTGGCCTCATGTAATCCGCCTGCCTCAGCCTCCCAAAGGGTTAGGAGTACAGGCGTGAGCCACTGTGCCTGGCCGCCTGGCAGTAGGTTATTGAAACTACCTTATTAATGGTGAATCCTGATGAGGCAGTTTGTATTTTCCTAAAGATGATTATATCAATGTATCCCATTGAACATGCTCTTCTTACAATGTGACTTTGGTACTCCTCTCTTAGAGAGATGGGGTCTATGTCTTCTCCCCTTAAAACTAGGGGGCTTTTTGTGACTGTTTTAACCAATAGAATATAGTGAAAATGAGGCTCTGTGATTTACAAGACTAGGTCATAAAATGGACGCAGCTGCTCTGAGGACAAAAACTTGGAAAGTCTTTTCTTGTTTGGAATATGAAGAAAAAGGAAGCTCAGGTGTAGATGCATTATATAGAGTATAGTGTATTAATGCTTGCCTGAAAGAGATCCTGCTCCACTCTGGTAGAAAGTTATTATCTGAGTGGAAAATGTTAGCACCAATAGTGGTGTGAAAATGGAAGCCCGAGAAAAGAGAGGTTGGAAGAATAAGAGTCAGGAGCTTCTCTGAGAGTCAAATGTTGACAAGTCATCCAACAAAGCAATCAAAGATTTTAGATACAATCTGCAGCAAATAATAAGGTAACTTTTCCTGAATTTTATCAGTGTGTCTCATGTTTCATTATATCTAAAGACCTTGCACAAGAAACCATTGTAAGGACAGGCATGGTGGTTCATGCCTGTAATCCCAGCACTTCTAAAGGCAGAGTTGGGCAGATTGCTTGAGCTCAGGAATTTGAGACCAGCCTGGGCAATATAATGAAATCCCATCTCTACAAAAAATACAAAAATTAGCTGAGTGTGGTGGCACATGTCTGTAGGCCCAAGCTACTTGGGAGGCTGAGGTGAAATGATGGCTTGAGTTAGGGAGGTCGAGGCTGCAGTGTGATGTGTTTGTACCACTACTACAGTCCAGCCTGGGTGACAAAGTGAGACTCTGTCTCAAAAAGAAAAGGAGAAAAGAAACCATTGTAAATGATATTTGAGAAACAATGGGTCAATAATGAGGATGGTGTTGAGATAATAGAAATTGACCCATTTTAGTTTGGAATAATTTTAAATTTACATAAGAGATGCAACGGTATTACAAAGAGTTCCTATATACTTTTCACCCAGTTTCTCCCTAATGCTAATGTCTTACATAGCCATGGTACATTTGTCAAAGCTAATGTATTAACATTAGTACATTAAACTATAGACTTTAATTGGATTTCCACAGTTTTTACACTAACATCCTTTTTTTGATCCCAGAATTCAGTCCAGGATACCATATTTGGTTGTCATGCCTCCTCCAACCTGTGATAGCTTTCAATCTTTCCTTGCCTATCATGAACCTGACAGTTTTGGATTTATTTTGTAGAATGGAATGGTCATCATTTTGTTTTTTTAAATTATTTTTTTCTTTTTATTTTTTAAGAGATGGAGTCTTGCTGTGTCTCCCAGGCTGGAGAGCAGTGGTGTGAGCTCATTGCAGCCTCCAACTCCTGGGCTCAAAATATCCTCCTGCCTCAAGGCCTCCCCAGGAGTTAGGACTACAGGTGCATGCCATCACATCTGGGTGTTTGCCTGTTTTTCTCAAGATTAGACTGTGATTATGTGTTTTGAGGAATAAAACCACAGACGTAAAGTGCTGCTCTAATCACATGTAAAGGGAAACATAATCTCAGCATGACATATCACTATGGATGTTAAACTTGATTGTTTGGTTAAGCTAGAGTCTGCCAGCTCTCTCCACTGTACTTACTGTTTTTCTCTTTCCACAATCTATTCTTTTGAAGCCAGTCACTCAAGAAGGGAATTAAGCTCCACTTCCTGGGAAGTGGTATCTATATTATTATTTAGAATTCTTCCATAAGGAAGATTCTTCTTTTCCATTTATTACTATTATTTAATCAGTATTAAGTCACATGTATTTATTTTATACCACTGGTTATACACTGCTATGGTCTGTTTAGGCCCCTCCCTGGCCTCCACCAAATTCATGTTGAAATTTTAACCCCCAAGCTAATGGTATTAGGAGGTGTGGCCTTTGGGAGGCAGTGGCAGCTAGGCCTAGTGTTCTTATAAAGAGACCCCACAGAGCTAGCTAGTCTCTTCCACTGTGGTGAGGACACAGCAAGGGAGTGCCATCCATGAGCCAGAAAGCAGGCCCTTCCTTACCAGACAGTGAATCGGCCTCGACCTTGGGCTTCCCAGCCTCCAGAACTGTGAGAACTACATTTCTGTTGCTTATAAACCATCCAGTCTATGGTATTTTGTTACAGAAGCCCAAATAGACTAAGACGCCTTTCAATACTATGTTACTTTGTTGCTCAAGTTGTTCCGGCTTTGGCCATTGGCAGTTTTCAGGTTGGCTCCTGTATCTTTTTAATATATCCTCATCTTTTTGCTTTTTAAACATTTCTGTGAATCAAGATGTTCAGGCAGCACTGGAAGTCTGGTCAGTACTTACAGTTCTTGACAGTTTCACTGATGGATTCTACCAGTTTCTTCAGAGCCTTCTGGTCCATGTCGTGTGGCTTTAACAACTCCAGAATTTCCAGATAGCTTAGCTTCAAGCCTGGACATCCTGAGCTATCACTGTTTCCAAAGTTCGTTACTCCAATCCCAACATGGCATGTGACCATGGCAACATCCCAGCAACCAAACACAGAAGGTTCTCAAGTAACTGGAAAAGTATGAAATGTTTGCTACCACTCCGAATATGGTAATTTCATTAATGTTTCTGTGATCTAAAAATTCATTATTTTCTGAGACAGGGTCTTGCTCTGCCACATCGCCTAGGATGCAGTGCAGTGGTGCCATCTCAGCTCAATGCAACTTCCACCTCCTGGGGCTCAAGCAATCCTCCCACCTCAGCCTCGTGAGTATCTGGGATTACAGACATGCACCACCACACCTGGTTTATCTTTTGCATTTTTTGTAGAGATGGGATTTTGCCATGTTGCCCAGGCTGGTCTCGAATTCCTGGGCTCAAGCGATCCACCCACCTCCACCTCCCTAAGTACTGGAATTACAGGCCTGAGCCACCGTGCCCGGCCTATTTTTATTTTTTAGACAGGGTCTTGCTGTGTCACACTGCCCAGGCTAAAGTGTAGTGGTACAATCATAGCTCACTGCAGCCTCAGCTTCCCAGGCTCAATCCACCCTCCATCTCAGCCTCCCAAGTAGTTGGGACTGCAGGCACGAGCCACCACACCCAGCTAACGTGATTTAAAAATTTATAGCAATTCCAACATTTATCTTTTCTTTGGGGCTAAACACCACTTCAAGTGGTATTTGATACCATTTATACTCCTTCAGCACCAACAGAACAGTTGAAAACATATTTGAACACATAATAACTAAATAAGTTACAAATACCTTATTAAGCTGGAAGTAATTTCCCAGGCTATCAGCAGCTCCTTCAAAGGTTACAACCTCCTCCAAACTCTAACCAAGCACCCTTTTATGATATCCAAACAGAAGCTTCAATCTGGGAGCTTCTAGAAAAATTAAAAACTCACTTTTACCCCTCCAACTTTGATTGGGTTGACTGGTAGGATAACATGGTGTGACTATGCCAAAGCTGACTAAAATGTCAACTGTTCTAACTTGTTGATTGTAAAATCCTGGTAGAGAGAACAAACATGTCATCTATGTCTGCTGGCCTTCACTGTGGTAAGGCAAGAAAATGTATTAAAGTGATTTTTAGAATTTAGGACACTAGATTCTTACTAACTTTTAAATGAAACATAAAACCAAAATTTAAAATACAGCAAAGGCTGGGCGTGGTGGCTTATGCCTGTAATCTCAGCAGTTTGGGAAACTGAGGTGGGAGGACTGCTTGAGCCCAGGAGTTTGAGACCAGCCTGGGTAACATAGGGAGATCCTGTCTCTACAAAAAAAAAAAAAAAAAAAAAAAAAAAAAAAAAAAAATTAGCTGGGTGTGGCGGTGCATGCCTGTCACAGGTTCCAGCTACTGGGAAGGCTGAAGTGGGAGGCTGGCTTGAGCCTGGGAAGTCAAGGATGCAGTGATCTATCATTAAATACAGTTGGGGGGAAAAAAGGTTTCTCAAAACTTTTCTTAAGCAAATAAATAAATGAGTATTCATAGACTTTAAGTTAAAAAGTAGCAATTTTTAAAAAACTATGAACCCTGTCACTTAAATTTGAAGAATAGCTGTTCTCACTTGGTTTCTGTGAGCCTTGTCTATGGGTCTCCATGAAATGTCAGAAAATTAAGCAATAGGTTTTTAATACAACTTGATTGAAGGAATGTAAATCTGTATTCTAGTTAAAATAAATTCAGGACACTCTAATGGTATTTAAAACAACTAAATATACTAAGGGCAGCCAAAGGAATCCAAACAATTACAAAGAGGTAGCATGAGTATAAAGCCAATTTTTCTATCTGGAACATCCACAGATTTATGGCAGTTATTCCAGTACCGTTATCCTAGTAACATGCCTTGTATTTGTAAAAAATTGGTGTAAAGTTTGTCAAGAAAAAGGGTAGTTTGGAAGGGAGGAAGAGATGTTAGTAACTTGCACAGGGTAATAACTTTGGAATAAACATAACTGATAATATGACTCTGTCAGCTAGGCGCAGTGGCTCATACCTGTAACCCTAGTACTTTGGGAGGCAGAGGTGGGTGGATCACTTGAGCCCAGGAGTTTGGGATCAGCCTGGGCAACATGGTGAAATCCCATCTCTATAAAAAATAAAAAAAATCAGCCAGGCATGGTGGTGTGCGCCTGAAGTCCCAGCTACTCGGGAGATGGAGGTGGGAGGATCACTTGAGCCTGGGAGGTCGAGGCTACAGTGAGCTGAAATCACACCACTGCACTCCAGCCCAGGAAACAGAGTGAGACTCTGTCGCCAAAAATAAAAAAAAATAAAAAAATTAAAAAATTATTCTGTCAAATTTTCTTTTCTTTCCATACTTTGTTAGGAGGCTGTTAAGGCTACCAACAGAGGACTAGAAAAAAGTGTTGCCCAGACAGTTAACACATTCTGGAAAGAATATAGTTTTTCACCAAATCACCTTCTTCCCCGTCTAATAAAATGAACAGTTGCTTCTAGTGGAATACAATCTTTATATACCTATTGGACTAGTCTGTAAACCTGCACTTCCATGTCGTAACAAAAGTGATGACCATGTAATCTGATCAACTTATCTTCTGGCATTTTCATGAACAACAATTCTAGGAAACTTCCTTTTGGATGCAAAATGTCCCTTGAATTTTCTGTGTATTCAAAAGCATACAGATATCTTTTATTAGGAAATAGCATGCAGCTTTGAGTATAAGAAACCAAGATATGTGTTTTTTTAATAGCTAAAAATTTAGGGACATGTCTTATCTATTTCCAGCTTAACATCTAGGAGTGTTTATCTTTGTAAGTTTACTTGCAGTCCAAAGGGAGCTGATAAGAACACAGCTATTTTTAAGTAAAATAGCTATTTATTCAGCCTGTTGTCATGCCAACATGTTCTGTGCATATACCACTATAATTAGCACACCCTTTGTAACAGGCAAAATTGTACATCAAGTTGTATGTCATGTTACCTGATTATATAAAAATGTAAAATGAAAATGAATTATCAATTCCTTTTAACATTCCTAGTAAACAATTCAGCAGTAGACATGAGGCACAAAATCTTAGTAAAATATGACACAGGGAGAGCAATAATGTAACTCTTATTTAAACTTAACTTGTCATAATTTGTTATTAATATACAAAGACAACAAACTTTTAAAACATTACATTTACTAAGATTCTGGCAATAAGACACAGCATACCAGGCTTGCCACTCAACTTGTTATTGTAAGTCTCAGCTTCAATATGAAGCCGTTTTTTTTTTTTAATCAAAACCCTGCTTTTTACATGCTAAATATCTTGGCAAGTAGGCCATTAAACATAGTAATGAACTTAAGACAGCAAGAGTGAGGAGTTAACAAAAGCTAAACATTGCAGCCTAAACAAAATTCATACAAAAAAATAAACTATCACTAGTTACATAAAATTTTCCTGACTGGTTAAAACTTAGTATAAAACATGCATTTTAGAATCTTTAGCTATCAAGTTCAAAAAGTACCAATGTCTATTTAAAATAATTCCTCTCCCAAGCCAAAGTGTAGTCAAAATTAATTCAAATGACATAACACATTCTAATGCTAAAAAATATTCATTATTACTAAAGTGGAGGTAAATCCCAGAGCTTTTGGGGCTTTCTCATGCTGCAAATGGCTGTTTCTCTGGTTCACTCAAAGCAGCATATGACAGCATCCAAAGATGACACTAAGCTCAGTAAAGGGCAAGACTGCTGGTAGCCAGCTCTGACCTCCCCGTGAAGCATGGCTACTGTGTCCATAATACAGGATGTGTGAGGATCAAAGGCACACTATTCTGCTAGCTAAAGAGATAGCAAACCACCCCCCAACCCTAAAAGCTCCTTCCCCAGGTAAATAAAAGTATACGAGGGGAAAAAATTAAAATACACTTATCTACAGAGTAAGGGTTTTGAAATATTAATGTAATCCCTCCTTCAAAAATTCTAACTAGAGTCATCTGGTCATTTCTGATTACATCTTAAAGATGTATCCAGATTCAATTTCTGTTGGTTTATCCTTAGACGCTTCTAGTCAAAAGTATTAATTTTATTCCCAAATATCTTAACCACTAGTACGACTGCAGTGTATTATCTCCCAGAGTTATCAAGCACTGGAAGAGAAAAAAATAGATGTTCAAGCAGCAGGCAACATTTATGGCCCTTTCACACAGTGGCATCTGAGTGGCTACTGAATAGTCCAGGAATAATTCCAAAAACAAGAAAATTCATGCATTTTAGTAAATATGTTGTAGTTTTCACAGTTGAAATTTCCTCAGACATTGCACTTTCTTTATAAGGGAATCCTGATTTTTCTTAATGTTATGGTGAGTCAGGACTTGAACTAGCAGCCTTCTTTTTCTTCTTCTTACTGTGTTTCTTATGCTTCTTTTTCTTTTTTGTTTTTTCCTGTAAAGATAATTCCATGTTAGACATTACTATATAAAAATACGCAAATTAAAAGCATCTTTACCATGCTTCTAAGCTACCACATAATTCCAAACAATCCACACAACCAAGAAAACTACTCAAAACATTCCTCAAAAAGTCTCAACAACCAGTATCATATGAGGACTAAAACAGTTCTTGTCGATTTTCAAAAAGATAGGGAGAAACTCTTAAGTCATTAGCATATTAACATAACTTCTAACAAAATTTCCTGTAGGAAATAAATTCAATTGAATCATGCTACCAATCACTATTATTTCATGCTATATAACTTCTAAAGGTAAAGTAATTGCAGTTACTGGAATGGAGTAACCAAATAAAAACATAATTGTTTTTGTAAAATAGTTTTCAGACAGAACAGAGATATTAAATTTGCCAGTTTTAAGTAAATAGGTACACAGGCATTGTGTACTGCTCAGACTGGCAGCACTACTTGAAGTTGCTGTCATTAATTATTAAATTATTAAATTAAAATCAACTAATTAGTACAAAGTATCAATGTATAGTTAAAAAGTCTACTTTGTTAAGCAAAACAGATGTCTGATTTTTAGAAGAAAATGCCACTAATGCCCGGTAGAAGTAGTTAAACTGTGAGTGGATTGAAGGGAGCTGGAGTTTTGCTGAAGTCTGACTCTCCTATTTTTGTTATAGAACGCAGAACTTTTAGAAACACAGATACTTGGAAAGGTGGTACCAAATGAGAGACTGCTGCTAGTGTACTGATATTCAAGAGAAGAAAATGAAAAGCAAAAAAGAAGAGACCTATAAGGATGGTAACAGCAGAGCTTCCTATCCATTTCCTATCTATCAGCACTATCTACTCTCCCCTCTCTCAAAGGCCTCTACCACTCTGTGGCACTAAGCTAATTTTCAACATTCTTTTCTCACTACATGTTTGAAGTACATAGGGAATATTACAGAGTCCAAAATCTTGTAATTTGGGCTTTTAAAACTAAGTTTTGGGTATAGGTTGCTTTTTCATAAAAGGACAGCTGAGCACTCTCTTCTAAAAATCATTTTCTTCTTAGCTTCCATGACACCTCTCTGCTGGTTTTCTTCTATCACAAAGACCTCTTCATTTCCTTTGCTGGCTCTTCTTCCTCTGGCTGGCTTTTCTGGGGCTTCCTTCCATTGTTTACCACATACTCTCCCAGTCACATGCTTTACATTCCACTTAAAACCAATGATGCCCAAATCTTTATATTCAGTCCTACTCTTTGACCTCAGGACGATAAGTGCCTCATTAACAGCTCTACCTGGGATGTCTCGTAGGCATATCTGAAATTAGCACAACAAAATGCTTCATTTTTCTCTCCAAATCCTCAGCCATCTTAGTAACTGGCACTACTTATCTGTCATTTTGCTTAGGTCAAAGAATCTAAGCTATCTCTGATTCTGCTCTTTAACTCCAATGTCCGCATTCAAAGTACCAAGCAAGTCTTACCATCTAAGTTCAAAATGTATCTCAAATCCATCCTTGCCAGTCCAACTCCATTACTATCACTGCTGTACAAACATCATTCCTCACTTGTGCCCACTTATCTCCTGTACCAAAGGATTTACAAAATGTAAAATATTTAGGTCACCTCTTTGTTTAAAACCCTCAGAACAGCTTCTTATAACATTCTGATGAAAACACACTCTGCTGTGTAATGTAAGTAAGCCTCTGCTTACTTCCTACCCTCATTGTATGGCATTCCTCTTTCCCCACCAGGCATTAAGCCACTTACCTTCTCTTAGTCCCTCAAATATATCAAGCTTATTCTCACTATAGGTCTCTAAGAGCTCTTCCCTCTGCCTAGGATATTCTTTCCTTTGATATTCACATGGTTGGCTCTTTCTTGTAAATCAGATTTCAGCTTAATTTCACTTCCTCAGCGAGGATTTCATGAGCCCGTCCCCACAGTATCTCTCTCACGTATCATATTCTTCTATCTCATACTCTTTTGTACTCTTAAGACTTAGAAAAGTGCCTGCATAGAGTTGCTTCATACATACACACTAGCTGAAAGCATGAAACAGTGAAAGTATGCAAATACTTATTTGGTTATGTCTTAATTAATTAATCCGAACCACAGACCAAAGCTATCTTCACCCAAACTACTTTCACATTCAGAACAAACAAACAAACAAACAAAAACTTATTCGTCATCGTAGGCTTGGAGCACATAAAATGTTATTTCTGAATCATTACTAGGGGAGCCTTCCTATCAGAGAAGGTACCTCGTTTTAAGAGTCAGGAAAATTCTGGGAAGGGGTTACTGAAACCTACAAATGATGATGTTTTCATTTTTCTTTCACCTTTCCCTAAGAAAATGCCTTCAAAGGTCATAGCTCACATTTATACTGAGGGCCCCTAAATTACTTTGCTGATATTGTTGGCATTACTCTTTGAAAATAATCTCTGTTAACCATTTTCTCTTGGTTGATCTGTTTCTTGTTTGGATACTACTTCTATTTTCCTTAATTCGCCTCTTCTTTCTCTTTTCTTCTCAATTTGCATTAATAGCAGAGTTTGGCTTTAAAAGCTATCAAAAGAATCTTTATTAATGAGTCATTTATGTTGTCATATTATTATTTTTTCATTGCAGCTAGTGCTTGGAGAGGCTTTTTCTGTTATTACCAGATTTGGCTGATTTGGAAGTAACTATTATCAAAGATAACAGAAATCACCATACTTTGGTCTCTCGTATTTCATATTGTAGCTTAAGGAAGTCAAACAGAAATTTGAGCTTATATTTCTTTTTTTTTTTTTTTTTTTAAGACGGAGTCTTGCTCTGTTGCTGAGGCTGGAGTGCAGTGGGGCGATCTCAGCTCACTGCAACCTCTGCTGCCCAGGTTCAAGCAATTCTCCTGCCTCAGCCTCCCGAATAGCTGGATTACAGGCGCCCGCCACCACGCCCGGCTAATTTTTGTATTTTTTTTTTTAGTAGAGACGGGGTTTCACCATGTTGGACAGGCTGGTCTTGAACTCCTGACCTTGCAATCCACCCGTCTCGGCCTCCCAAAGTGCTGGGATTACAGGCGTGAGCCACTGTGCCCCACCTGAGCTTATATATATATATATGTTTTTTGAGACGGAGTCGCACTCTGTCGCCCAGGCTGGAGTGCAGTGGCGTGATCTCAGCTCACTGCAAGCTCTGCCTCCCGGGTTCACGCCATTCTCCTGCCTCAGCCTCCCGAGTAGCTGGGACTATAGGTGCCCGCCACCATGCCCGGCTAATTTTTTGTATTTTTAGTAGAGACGGGGTTTCACCGTGTTAGCCAGGATGGTCTCGAGCTCCTGACCTCATGATCCACCTGCCTCAGCCTCTCAAAGTGCTGGGATTACAGGCGTGAGACACAGCGCCCAGCCCTGAGCTTATATTTCTAACAGTAAAATACTGAAATGGAAACAGGACATGCTTGCTACCAGGGTATTTTTTATTTTTCCTGAACCATTTTGACTTTCTCCTACCCATTAAGTGAAGCTGCTGAACACACCACACCTTTCCCAACAAATACTTATTTGGTCCCAGTAAATCCAATCAAGCTTTACCATGACTCATTTTATATTAAACCAAAACACCTATTCTATTGTCTGTAAAAACGTTAAGAGATACTTGCTGTTGCTTTTTCTCGTTCTTCACTGCTTTTCTTCTTTTTTGCTCGCACCTAGAAAGTTTAAATTTTTGTGGAGAACAGAAGACAAACATGTAATTTGTACTCAAGGCATTTTTCTTTCATTCTCTATCTTGCATCTTCAAAATTTAAATGTAAAAAACATTTTGACAATCACAGGACATTTAAAATAACTCCTGTTATATCTCAATGAGGTTTCAATAAAAAACATAAAGGAAGGACAATTAAGACGTAAAATCTCTAGACAGCTTCTCTTATATTCCCTTTCAGCACCTAAAAAAATGTGGTACAGTGGAAAAAAACATCAGCTTTAGGCCGAGTGTGGTTGCTCTTGCCTGTAATCTCAGCATTTTGGGAGGCCAAGGCAGGAGGCTTGCTTGAGCCCAGGAGTTCAAGGCCAGCCTGAGCAACATAGTGAGAGCTCCCCCATCTCTACCAAGAAAAAAAAAAAAGAAAAAGAAAAAATAGCTGGGCACAGTGGCATGTGCCTGTAGTCCCAGCTAACTGGAAGGTTGAGATGGGAGGATCACTTGAGCCCAGGAGGTTGAGGCTGCAGTGAGCCCTGTTTGCACCACTGCACTCCAGCCTGGGCGACAGACTGACACCTTGTCTCAAAACAGGCAAACAAAACATCAGCTCTGAAATGAGATAGATTCCAAGGTCTGAATCCTATCTTACTCTCAACATCTGTAAAATGTAGATAATATCCACCCTCAAGGGGAAGTGCCTAAAATACAGCAGGTATTTCTCTCACTCTATGGTGCTCAACAAATGGTAGCTCTATATTCAGTGTAGTTAGTATAAAGCCAATAGGTTAAAATTCTAAGTAAGAATTATCATCCCATTTATATTTTATTTCAATCTTTTTGAGTGTGGTACACTGGATTTAAATTAAACTGAGGCCGGGGGCAGCGGCTGGTGCCTGTGATCCCAGCGCTTTGATAGGCCAAGGTGGGAGAATTGCTTGAGGCCAGGAGTTCAAGACCAGCCTGGGTAACCTAGTTAAGACTTCACCTCTACAAAAAAATTTTTGTTAAAAATTAGTGGGGTGTGGTGGCATGTGACTGTAGTCCTAGCTACTTGGAAGGGTGAAGTGGAAAATCACTTGAGCCCAGGAGTTCCAGGCTGCAGTGATCTATGACTGCACCATTGCCCTCCAGCCTGGGCGATAGAGCAAGAACCTGCCTCTAAAAAAATAAGAATAAATAAGCTGAAAGTTGTCAAAGCTTTCATAAACTTTCGTATTACATGTTAAGTCCAAATGTGAGATATTTCATATTAAACTTGCTACCATGTAGCAGACAAACATAATACAACACTAATACATTACATACAAAACAATATTTATAAATTTGCCTAATGTTGAATTGCGTGGTTTTGCTGCTAAGTGACTACGACATTAAATACATGACAAATACATAAAAATGCAATTAACAATAAAAGGAAGCATGAGGACTAAAAAAAATATAACACATTAAGCACTAGAGATCACAAGCTCACAACAGAGATCACTAACTCACTAGCTCTCTTTACCGAGCACCTAGGAAACAATATTTTTATTGTTATTCTTGTTATTACAATGACTAAGGGTGACAGCAGATGTACTACATCTATATTTAGCCAGGCAGAGATGAGGGATGCTGTCACGCCATGTCCTGAACAGCCCTGTACATCCTCCACGACTTTTGAATAGCCTGCTAAACATTCATGTGATGAATCTGTTTACAATACAGAAACTAAAATTTTTTTTTTTTTGACAAAGTCTCGCTCTGTTGCCCAGGATGGAGTGCAGTGGTGTGATCTCGGCTCACTGCAGCCTCTGCCTTTCCGGTTCAAGCGATTCTCCTGCCTCAGCCTCCTGAGTAGCTGGGATTGCGGGTCTGTGCCACCATGTCTGGCTAATTTTTGTATTTTTAGTAGAGACAGGGTTTTGCCATGCTGGCCAGGCTGGTCTTTAACTCCCGACCTCAGGTGATCCATCTGCCTTGGCCTCCCAAAGTGCTGGGATACAGGCGTGAACCACCACACCTGGCCCAGAAACTAAATTTTAAAAAATAAAATTTTTTTATTTTTTTAAAGAGATAGGGTTTCGCTATGTTGCCCAAGCTGGTCGTAACTCCTGGTCTGAACTGATTCTCCTGCCATAGCCTCCCAAATTGCTGAGATTACAGGTGCCACAAGAGGCTGAGCCACTGCACCAAGCCTCTTGTGCAGGATTTTAAGATATACTGTAATGCCACTGTATGGTTTTTGAAGGGCGTATGTAATATACACCTGCTACAGCCTGCATTTTGTTTTTTCTTAAGATTCTATGTCTTCTGGTGTTACAGCATTGACTGATTGATTGAGATGGAGTTTCACTCTTGTTGCCCAGGCTGGAGTGTGATGGCACAATCTTGGCTCACTGCAACCTCCGCCTCCCGGGTTCAAGTGATTCTCCTGCCTCAGCCTCCCGAGTAGCTGGGATTACAGGCACCTGCCACCACGCCTGGCTAATTTTTTTTTTTTTTTTTTTTTTTAGCAGAGATGGAGTTTCACCATGTTGGCCAGGCTGGTCTGGAACTCCTGATCTCAGGTGATCCACCCGCCTCAGCCTCCCAAAGTGCTGGGATTATAAGCACGAGCCACTGCGCCTGGCCTGGTGTTAATCACATTCAGGCATTTACACTGAAATACAATTTCATAAAATTGCACATTATCATTATTATTTTTTTAGAGATGGGGTCTTGCTATGTCACCTGGGCTAGAGTGCAGTGGCTATTCACAGGTGGGATCAGAGTGCACTGCAGCCTCAAACTCCAGGGCTCAAGCAACCTTCTTGCCTCAGCATTAGCTTTCATTTCAGGAGCAATTACAAGACATTGCTATAAAATGGGGGCAATAGGTCTTAAAGGACCAAGTGCCACTGTTGCAGACCAAGAACGATGAAATCAGAAAGGAGAGAGGCACAAACAAACAAAAATGCAAGACTCAGGGAATGGGGAGATGAGGAATATAGTAGACAGAGATAGAGCTGGGCAGGACTGATACAGGAGGAGGCTAATACGGAAACGATTAAAGAATCATGAAAACCAGCTCTTGTTGCAATCTGCTACCACCCCTTGTAAGCAAGGGTAAGATCCTCAACTCTTTTAGATTACACTATTGGGGGTTAAGTATGTTGATCGCTAAAGAAAGCTACAGTTTTAAAAATAAATGATTCTAGGGCAAACTTGGCTTAGATTTTACTGTAACACCAAGAATTATGCAAACTTTAGCCACCATTTACTCTGTCTCAGGTATGATGCAATGCCTTTCGTAATTTATCATCTCATTTAGTTCTCACAACGAAGTAATATGATATGTTTCCTGCCAACATTTCTTCTCCACTTCATCACCTTTCTACTCCCCGAAAAGTAGCTCAAAACACAGCTAAATATCAACTAAACTGAGATAGTATATGCAATGTTCTATTTTAACAATGTAAGAGAATGTTTGGTTTCAACATGCTGTATGTTACACAGCTTCTTTCATGTAACAAGAATGGTAGCACAATAAAAAGGAAATATTAGAAGACTAAAAATATCTCAGATTAGAAAGGTATGTGGAAATACAGTTAATTATAAAAAATAATAGATAATTATCTTCTGGAAAAAAGCAAAACTCATTCTGAAATGAAATAACTTTCATTTTGTTTTTTCATACTAGAAAGGTGAATAAATTAAATATGAAGTATTTCTTTTTCTAAGTCATATTTATTAAATCAATAACTAAGCATTTTAAAATAGAGAAAATGGATTTGATCATATACTTACCTCCTCAATATACTCTGATTCTGACAAGGACTCAGATGATAAAGGTTTATCTTCAGAATACATCTTTCTCTTTTTGCTGAGTCCTTTAATATCCTATGAAAAATAAATACATTTATCTTGACTCAGACATACTTTGTCACACACATTTTATGTTTCTAAGTTCTATTTAATTCTTCTAATTATTATAATTACCCATTTTTATTTTAGAATGTCTAAAAAGTGTAACATTTACCAGGATTTAAGTCTTTAATTCCACTAAAGCAATATTAAATATATTGAAAAGAAATAACTACATATCCATTTAGATGTAATATCCATCTTATTTTCTTAAATTATACAGAATAGACTTTATACAGTCATATGAAATATGCAGATAATGTAAGATTTGGTTCCTTTGTATTCTAATTCTTTTGTTTCTACCCAGGATTGGATTAGACAGGCCTAGTACTGCAGAAAAGAAAATAAATGGGTGATTATTTGCAGTGATCTAAAAGAATCTCTATGTAGTAATTCCTTTAGCGCAAAGTGTTAAATGTAAATATGTGTTTAAAAAAATCTTAACCTCTAAGTATTTTTAATGTTGAAAAAGTGAGTAACTCTGGAGAAGGAGAGGGGACTGAGATTGGGAGTAGTACTTAGGGGCTTAAATATATATTTGAAGAAATAAAAAAAAATTATGACAACACCCAAAGCAAGTGTAACAAAATGTTAAGATTTATTCGAGCTGCATAGTGGATATGCTGGTTATCATTTTATTATTTTTCATGGAACTGTTCTGTATATCTGAAGTAGTTCATAACAAAAACAAAACTACCCAATGGAAAAAATGTTCACCACCTAATCTTACATAAAAAATTCAGAATGTACAACTTTTTATATAGCGTGAGTCTAATTTTGAAGACAAACAAAAATGCAGAAAATAAACTAACAGTGATGATCTCTCTATGGGCTAGATTATAGCAGACTTCCTTTTGTTTCTGCAAACAGCATTGTTATTTTGGCCAAAATGTTAAATGTTAACTGTAAGAAAATGGACTCAAATCCCACTATCAGAAATTAAACACCATTAAGATTTTTGGAAACATCTTTCTAAGTGTATGTTTACAATATTACATAAATACCTGCTGTCTGGAACCTGCTCTTCTCACCCAATAGTATCTTTCCATGCCAACTACATCATTTATGGCTGCATTTAACATTCACTAAAATGCCAGAATTTACTTAACCCATCTCCTTCTGGAGGAAAGAAATATGGGTTCTTTGCTATTAAAAACAAAGTTGAAATAGAATGAAGTGTATGTGAGTGCAAACTCTTTAATAACGATGACTAAATCAAAGACCAACGTAGCCTTCACACAAATGATCATCTTTTTCTCCCACCATGTCCAAAACTGTCTGTCATCCATTTATGAATCACACTTTACCAAGAAGCCTCCCTCTCAGGCTCTTTATCAATCGTATCAGAGAATACAGTTTGTGTTTTCTTTTAGAATTGCCTAAACGTATATTTGCCAATTTGTCTGTGTATGTGTGGTATTCTTTTTTCCTTATTAAAGATCATTAGTTTTTTGTGTTATACATTCTTAGAAGTTTTTCTTAGTCTGTTCATTGTAGTTAAACTTTGTTCACAGTTTAATTTTTGTAATCAGTTTTTGCCATTCAGAATTTGAAATATATGGTCAAAAGTTTGAGTTTTGAGGCATAAGCCTTCCCCACCCCAGTACTGTAATAGTCACCCTTTCTCTAGTTGCATTTTCATACATTGAAATCTCTGAGCTGTCTGGGATGTATTTGGCTTTATGTAGTGGCCAGCTTTATATTTTCCAAATGATTAGTCATTTTGTTCCAAGAAATGCCATCTTTATCATATTATTACATTCCACAGATTCTCGAATTTTCACCTGGACTCTACACTGTTCCATTGTTTTGTCTATTCCTGTACTAGTACTGCACTGTGTTAATTAAAACATTCTTATAATGTTTTAATATCCAGTACGGCAAGTTATACCCAGGAACACGTTATGACTCTCCATTTATTCAATCTTCATATATGTCTCTGAATAGACTTGTATAGTTTTCTTCAAATAAGTACTGTTTACTTCTTTAAAATTTTCTTGCAGATTTTTTGGTTACTACTATAAAGAGGATATTTTCTACCACTGTATTTTCTAATTGAGTATTTTATTATCAGCACTTTCAGAATAATTTTAAATAATAAAGGGGCTAAAAACAATGATTATGTGACTTAAAATTAAAGCCTTTATATAATTATAATAGACACAAAAACAAAGTAAAGAGACGCCATGGACCAGAAAATGTTGTTTCTTTCCAACAGAAAAATGGGCAAAGACTATGAAAAGCAATGCAAAGAAAATGAAATATGAATGGCTAATAAGCAGGTTAAGAAGCTCAACCATTTGTATACATTAAATTTGCAATAATGACATCTCCCTGGGTTGACAAGTATGTGAAACAAGGGTATTTTTATACACTAGCAAGAATGCAAAATAACAAGCACTTGGGCAAGCAAAATGTTCGTAAGTTGAATGTGTATGCACATCCTAGAACTTAGAAATTACAGTCCAAAGTATCCTTTAGAAAATTAACAGTAAACTGGCTGGGCGCGGTGGCTCACACCTGTAATCCCAGCACTTTGGGAGGCTGAGGTGGGCGGATCACGTGGTCAAGAGTTCCAGAACAGCCTGACCAACATGGTGAAACCCTGTCTCTACTGAAAATACAAAAAAGTAGCTGGGCGTGGTGGCGCATGCCTGTAATCCCAGCTATTCAGGAGGCTGAGGCAGGAGAATTGCTTGAACCCGGGAAGTGGAGGTTGCAGTGAGCCAAGATTGCACCACTGCACTCCAGCCTGGGCAACAGAGCGAAACTCCATCTCGGAAAACAAAAAAACAAAAAACAGTAACTGTGGAAAAGAAGAAATGGGTAAGAAATATCCACAGCAGCACTATTTGTATTACTGAAAAATTAAAACAATCTAGATGTTCATAAAAAGGAGAACGGAGAAATAATTGTGGTGGATTAATTAGTAGAATACCATAAGCAAAAGAAACAAACTTGAAAGTATCAGTAAGGATAGATGTCAACAGTAATGCTGAATGAAAAGAAACAAGTTTCAGAAGGAAACACAATGTTACCATTTTGATAATACACAGTATTCTTCCCATTCCAGTAGGTATAACTAATTAAAAAAAAAAGAAACTCAATATTCTGTTATTTATGAACACATACTAATATAATAAAAGTATATAAATGTGGATAGGAAAGACATACACTAGTTTCAGGATCAGCTATATCAAAGGAAAAAATGATAGTTTGGGGACTTTTTTTTTTTTTTTTTTTTAGAGATGGGGGTCTTACTCTGTCATCCAAGCTGGAGTGCACTGGCATGATCATAACTCACTGTAACCTCCAATTTCTGGGCTTAAGTGATCCTCCCACTTCAGTCTCGGGAGAAACTAGGACTACCACACCTGGCTAATTTGTTTTCTTTGTGTAGAGATGGCCTCTCACTATGTTGCCCAGGCTGGTCTCGAACTCCTGGCCTTAAGTGATCCTCCTGCCTCAGCCTCCCAAAGTGTTCGGATTATAAGCATAAGCCATTGTGCCCAGTCTTTTTTCTTCTTTTTTTTTTTTAATACATAAAACAAGACTTGAAGCCAATGTAAATCATTTATTAATTCTAACTGGTAAATATATTAATATTTGTTGATTACATGTGTGTATATTACTCTGTATCTAATATTTTAAGTACTTAAAAATTGCAGTTCAGTTTTAATATTTCATGTTTCTATGTTACCAGATTTAATTTCACACATACTTTTTTTTTTTAAATATGAGGGTAACCACTTATTTTATAATCGTTCTGAAAATCAGGAATTAATGCTGAATTATATCACATCCTTCTGACAACTACTGAAATAATCATATGGTTTCTTTCCTTGATCAGTTAATATGGCAAATTATATTAAATTATCCTTGAATTCTTGGAATTGGTCATTACAGTTTCTTTTTTAAGTGTCTTTTTAAATTAAATTTTATTTTTTTTTAAATTTAGATGCAGGGTCTCACTCTCTCTCCCAGGATAAAGTGTAGTGGCATGACCTTGTGGGCTCAGTCTCCCAAGTAGCTAGGACTACAGGCATATGCCATCACGCCTGGTTAGTTTTTAAAATTAATTAAAAAAAATTTAAAATTAATTTTTATTTGCAAATTGTTATGTAAACCACTCCTAGGCATATACCCAAGAGAAATGAAAACATGCATCCATACAAAAACTTGTGTTTATAAATGTCCATAGCATCATTACAATAGCCAAATGGTAGAAACAAAACCAAATGTCCATCAACAAATGAATGGATGGCGAAATCCGCCACACACACACACGGAATATTACTTAGCCATACAAAAAACCAAAGTACTGATACATGCTACAACTTGGATGAAATTTGAAAATACTATGCCAGCTGAAAGACACAAAAGGTCGCATATTGTATGACTGCTTTTATATGATAAATCCAGAATAGGCAAATCCATAGTCAGAATACCCATTAGAGGTTACTAGAGAATGAGGGAGTGGTGGTGATTATTTAATGGATATGGAGTGTTTTTATGGGCTGATGAAAGTTTTGAAACGAGAGTGAGATGGTGGTTGCACAACACTGTAAATACATTAATACTGAATTTTAGCTTTAAAATATGGTATATACCATTGTGTACCATGGTATATTAAATGAAACTGAAACTGAATTTCAGTTTCATTTTCTATCATTAAAAAAATATGGGCCGGGCGCGGTGGCTCACGCCTGTAATCCCAGCACTTTGGGAGGCCGAGGCGGGTGGATCATGAGGTCAGGAGATCGAGACCATCCTGGCTAACAAGGTGAAACCCCGTCTCTACTAAAAATACAAAAAATTAGCCGGGCGCGGTGGCGGGCGCCTGTAGTCCCAGCTACTCGGGAGGCTGAGGCAGGAGAATGGCATGAACCCGGGAAGCGGAGCTTGCAGTGAGCCGAGATTGCGCCACTGCAGTCCGCAGTCCGGCCTGGGCGACAGAGCGAGACTCCGTCTCAAAAAAAAAAAAAAAATATGTAAATTCTGAGTAAAAACTAGTGACACTGGTCTGTAGTTTTATTACTGCCCTCTTTAGGTTTTTATTTTTAATAACCAGAATAACAATTTTAAATGTAAACCAGAAATTAAGGTAGGCATAAATTCTGCTTTAACTATATAGGTAAGTTATAAATGAAGGTAAAACATTTATTTACAATAGTAAGAAGATTTTTCAATATTTATCTATGGTATATTCAATTTGAAAGAGAAATTAATGTTCTTTAATTGGAAGGGCCTTCTTCAAAATGGTTTAAGAAATCAAAGGAAATAGGCTGGGCACGGAGAGGCCGAGGCAGGCGCATCACCTGAGGTCAGGGTTTTGAAAGCAGCCTGGCCAACATGGCGAAACCGTCTCTACTAAAAATACAAAAATCAGCTGGGCGTGGTGACACACACCTGTAGTCCCAGCTACAGGGAGGCTGAGGCAGGAAAATCGCTTGAACCCAGGAGATAGAGGTTGCAGTGAGCTGAAACGGCACCACTGTACTCCAGCCTGGGTGACAAAGCGAGACTCCATCTCAAAAGAAAAAGAAAAAAAGAAATCAAAGGAAATGTTTAATCTGCTAATCTGCATTATTTTGTATTTTTAATCTGAGATAATCCATTAATCTATATAAATTCAAACTCTTGGCCTAGAATACTCTTTTGATCCTTTATCTTCAATAATGAATCCAAATTAAAAATTGCTTTAAATTGAAACAAAATATTACAAAAACAAAATAAATATATCTCTTAAAAAGAGATACACATTATTGTTATTTAAGTCAATTAAGTATTATATGACAGACTATCTTAAGGCAATGTAAAAGTATAGTTACCTTTTCTTTCTCAGTTCCATCTTTTGACTTCTTTTTCTTTTTTAAACTATCCTAAACAAAGAAATATATGTATCAATTTTAAATGCCAAGGACACAGCATTACAGAACAAGGACAAAAACACCCAAAAAGTGATTTGCTCTATGACTGAAAAAAGGCTACTCCAATCCCAGTATATTATTCCGAAAATTTAAGAGAAATATAAGTTATGTATACATTTGCTTGTAAGCAAACAGGCTTCTTTATCTGGCTGTATACCAAATTTACTCTTAAAATGATAAGTACTGTCTGTAATACCCACACAGCTTATTTTAAAATAGGACTTCGTGTCATTGCCTGTGTTTGCTTATGGTGGTCACATGTACTGGAGTTGTATTCTAATTTGAGGAGGCAACAATTTCTGCTTTTGAATCCTTTGAGTTCTAGCTATTAATCTTCCTAAGCCTAGTTTCCTTATCCACTTTATCCATAAAGCGGATTACCAAATTACTTCCTGAAGTTGTTGAGATTCAATGAGTTAATAAATTAAGTGCTTAGAATTGTGCCTAACAGATAGTAGGCACTCAATAAATGTTAGCTATCATTATCATGAGACTAGCTCTTCTGCTTTAAAAGACAAAGAGAAAACCAACATTTACTGAGTACTTTCTAGATGCTAGGTATTTTGCCAGAAGATCTCTCACGGGGGCAGGCAGCTATCTGTTATAAATGCAGACAGCTGCTTTGGTTTCCTGAGACTCTAGTACAGTGTTTGTCAAATTGTGGTCCATAAACACCCCAGTATCAGAATCACACAGGGCATCTGTTAAAGACGTAGGTTTCCAAGCCTAATCAGATACTAAAACAGACTCTGGAGGTAGGGCTCAGGAATCAACACTTTTTTCCGAGAACTTCTTAACTTTTTTCTGACCAGTAATGTTTGAAAGCCAACTGTGTGTCTGACAATCCTGGTTAGTACAGAACAAATTTAGGTACGGTATAGTAGAAAGGACATTGGACCAGATTTTAGAAGATAAAGACTCAACTTTTAATTCTAATTCCAGCTGTATCATTTTAAGCCAATGCTTTTTATCTGAACTCTAACTTCTTTATGAAAACAGGGACAATAATGTCAGTTGCCATGGAAATGTGGAGACATGGAGATATATATATATGAAAGCACTTGAATTATTAAATGTCACATGCAAGATATTATCAAGTATATCAATTAAGTGGCATAGAACATCAAAGTACAAATATCAGACTATCTTATTTTTAAATTGAGAGCAACTTTAGGCAGAAAAACTTAATTAAATGTCTTTGTATCCAATATATTAATAATTTAAATAATTTACCTTACTGTCTGATTCAGTTTCTGACATGGAGCTTTCAGAAGATTTATGTGAACGGTTCTTCTTTTTCTTTCTCCGTTTTCCTTGTTTCTTATCCTACATAAAATATTTTTAGAAACATTTGCTTTCTGTCTCAAAAATCTAATTTACACATTTATTAATATAAAACTTTTATCAGTGAACAAAATTTCACAAAAGGATCAGTTTCTATATTTTTTTCTTAATACTTAATACATCACTTTCCTGTTATAAAGATCAAGTGATTTGAATCACATGTAATGCCTAGCATCTAGTCAAATAGCATTTGATTTTTCAAATATTTTCTTCTACTGATATTTTTAGGTCAACAAAACAAATTTTAAAATCTAAAAAATATATTATATACCAATATTTAAGTTCCTAGTTACCACTCACTCATGTTAGTCCTCTAAGTTATGGATAATTAATCAAAACCTGGAAGTCAACATTTCTAACAGATATTTCACAATGGGTTTCCACTTGACATTAAAGAAATTAAGAGATATTATTTCATGAACCATTATAAGCAAACCTTACCTCATCTTCAGAATCAGAAGAACTGCTGGAAGAATCAGAGCTTGATGAAGAAGAAGATGAATACTTGACCAAGCACAAAACAATTAAAGCTTGTGAGATGCGAGAATGTTTTTCTTTTACAAAGTCTCTCAAATACTTAGTGAAATCAATCTAGTGTCTGAGAAACAGATGCCATATTCATAAGTCATAAATATGAAAATATAAAATGTCACACTTGTTCCCTGTACAAAAGCTCAACAAGTTAACATATGTGGCCATGGTCACCAATCTTTCTCTTTAAATAGCAACAGAAAATGTACTACGTTATAAGGTGGTTGGCACCGTTTTTTATGTCAGTGATAGAACAAAATCACTCTTCACAATCAAAGAACCTCTAAGTTCCTTGACTCATCTGGAGTTTAAGCTACCTTTAGCATACAGGTTAAACAAATTATTCTTACTTTTTTTGTTGGCTCTTAATTGTAACGTTTAGAAAAATGGAAAATTTTTGCTCACCCTACCAGATTTCTTCTTTTCTTTTTTCTTTCTCTAAATGGAAACAAAAGTACAAGTCTAAATAAGCTGATGTGAGTTTGCAAATGCATCTATTAACAGTAGTATACAGCATTATTATGAAAATCCAACTATGAGATTAAGAATAGCAATAAACTAAAAGTGGTATTACCTGTCTTTTTTTGGATGAGCTCTCACTTCCACTTAACAATTTCTCCCTGTGTTTTTCCAGTTCTTTCTTCCAGTTCTGCAAAAAGGTTATGAACACCATCAGAGACTATCTAACCTTTCCAATACACCTAATATACAGAGACAGCCACTGCTTCCTTCCCTCCATCCTCTTAATACCTCTCACCCATTTCAGCTTCTAATTACAGTCAAAAGAAACACAGGTGCCAATCCTTGACCCTATCACCAAAGGACCCTCTACTAGCTCTTTTCAAAGAGCATATTAAGGGATAGGGGTTCTGTATTATTGAGCAGCAGGCATTATTACTGAAGCTGAGGTCTCTTTTCAACAAAGATGGCTAGATTCTCCGTCTAGGCTGTAAAAGTTGAATTAATCATTACTGTGATTGATATGTTATATACATGTTTGTAATCAAAACAAGCAAACAGGCTGGGTATAATGGCTCACACCTGTAATCACAGTACTTTGGGAGGCTAAGGTGGGAAGATCGCTTGAGCTCAGAAGTTGGAGACCAGCCTGGGCAACATAGTGAGAACCTGTCTCTACTAAAGATAAAAAAAAAATTAGCTGGGCATAGTGGCCTGCAACTGTGGTCCCAGCTGCTCAGGAGGCTGAAGTAGGAGGACTGCTCAACCCTAACTTGGAATCCAAGTTATCTAAGTCTTAGATGACTTACATTACAAGATGATTCTTCTTCATTTTTTAAAGCATGCACGTAAATACAAACTTGTATTCACCATAACAATAACACTTCTAAAATACAGAACCTCTTTAACTGAGAGAGCTATGCCCAAATACTTAAGGTATTTTCTTTTTTTTAATGGAGACAAGGGCGGCGGGGGGGGGCCTTACTTTGTTGCCCAGGCTGGTCATGAACTCCTGGCCTCCCGTTTCGGCCTCCCAAAGTGCTGGAATTATAGGTATGAGCCACCATAACTGGCCAAATTAGTCTATTTTTTTAACAGGTACTTTTTACAAACCTCATTCATTTTTTCTTCAAATTCAGCCAAAGCCTTGGAGCCTTTCTTTTTCTTTTCTAGTTGCTCTTTTACTTCTTCCCTTAAAAAATAGAATGTACAAACAAAATTTCAAGCAATTCAAATTAGATAAATGCTTACAAATAAGACAACAAAATTTCATAAACTCTTCTAAATATTCTAATAGACTTCTATTCAATGTTGGTAACATTTCAATTTCTTTGTTCACGTTTATAAAAATAAATTACCATAATAAAGCTAAATAAATAACACTAATCACTCCTTTTCTAAATATGGATTATAAGAGCTAATACACCAAACATCTAAGCACTTACAACAGGCACTATTTAAAATACATTTTCATTTAATCCTCACAACGACCCTCTGAGAAAAGGTATGGATCCCCATTTTATAGATAAAGAAACTGAAGCTTGGAGAAGGTAAGAAATCCACCTAAGGTCATAAACCTGGTAGTTTTCAGTGTTAGGATGCCCTGAAATCTATCTGACTGAACTACTACATTCCATATATGACCCATTTAATAAGGTACCTAACATGCTGTGCAGAGAAGAGTTAATACAGCTCGCCTGACTGCTTAATCTTGGAAAGACATACTTAAAAGACTGGCCCTAGGTGGGCATCTGGGAACTTGAATTCGGAGGATTCTTACTATTCTCTGATAAGAGCAGATCATTGTTCCTAAAACTGTTTGTACAAACAATGTAGTTCAAGCTAAATACCTGTTTTCCTTCTGGGAAGCTGGAATTTTTTTTAAAAAGAGACAAGGCCTTGCTCTGTCACCCAAGCTAGAATGTAGTGGCATGATCATAGTTCACTGTAATCTTCAACTCCTGGCCTCAAGCAATCCTCCTGCCTCAGTATCCCAAGTAGCTAAGACTACAGGCATGTACTACCACATCCAGCTAATTAAAAAAAAAAAAAAAAACACATAAATATTTTTTGTAGAGACAGCATCTTGCTACGTTGCCCAGGCTGATCTCAAACTCCTGGCCTCAAGCAATCCTCCTGCCTCGGCCTCCTGAAGTGCTGAAACTGTAGGCATGAGCAACCATGCCCAGCCCTGGAATCTGGAATTTTGGTACATGACAGGCAGAGGCTGACCAGCCTCAATAAAAACCCTGGGCACTGAGTCTCTAATGAGCTTCAATTGGTTGCCAAAATCTCACATGTATTATCACAACTCCTTACTAAGGGCATTAAGTGCCTCTCACGTGATCCCACTAGGGGAGGACCCTTCAAAGCCTGTTCCGGGACTTACCCAAACTTTGCTCCCTGTGCCTTTTCCTTTTGCTGATTGTGCTTGGTAGCCCTTCACAGTAATAAATCTTACCATGAGTACGACTATCTGCTGAAACTCCAGTGAGTCCCTACGAGTTACTCAACCTGAGGGCTGTCTTGATGATTTCTGATACACATGTAATATATTTACTTGGACATTTCTCCTCGAAAGTTCATTCCCTCTCCCCATTAAAACATACTTTGTTTTGGGATAATGCATTTTCTGGTATGCTGCAATGGTTAACAATGGCATTCACACACACTGGTAAACAATCCTTACTTCTTATTTAACTCAAAGGAAGGATTCCCTATTATACATAAGCATACTTTTCAACCAGTTGCCTAGTTTTCAGGGGCACTTGGGATTCTGAAGTTAACAGCTCTGAAGCCTGTTGTATGTTGTCTCAGGAGTAAGGTATTAATAACGAGGAAGACATACTAAAGAATAACATGGCCCATACTCTGATGCTTTATTTACAAAAATCAGTCAGTTTTTCTAATTCATTGAAAAGCTGGCAGATAAAACTAGAAACAAAGCTGAATATTATTCTTCCTGCTATCTGGTTACACATCAGTAAAGGACAAGACTACTTAAACTCACTAAATAGCTTTGACCACTGCAAGGTTAGGGTCTTTTATGGAATAGAGAAGAGACTGGTATGAAAAAGTTACCTGGCAGTGCTTTGGCTATACTGGGTAGTGGGTTCTTAAATGTTTGCTTTATAATTGTACACGTGTTTCACACATTCAAAAGAAAGCACATATCAAATGTTACTTAAAAAAATTACTTATCTGGCAATTGCTTGGTAATCAATAAAATCAATTAAAGTCTTAAGAATAAACTTTAAAAAGTTGATAAAAGCTTATAAATAGGTAAAGTGTTTCACAAATACCAGGTAGGCCTTGGTCGATTCAGATAATCCTGTATTGTTGGCCCTGAAGACTGGATTGGACCCCTTGATCTCGCCATTGCTATTGGGTTCATATAGGCCTTGGGGAAAGAACAACAATTAATCCATTAAAGCAATCATTAAACATGCAAAACCTCACTTACTCATCAAGTAATCTTTACTATAAATGCATAATATATCCAGCTAAGTATATGCAATCTGACTAACCAACTCTTTATTCTAAAAAAATTAATTTAATCCTCTTTTAAGTCTTAAAAGTTTGGGAGAAAATTGTGTGTGTGTGTGTGTGTGTGTGTGTGTGTGTGTGTGTTTTACAAGAGATTTGATGAAATAATAGATACCTCTGACCTACTGATGGCTTTACAGCTCTTTCTCCTAAAGCCCAGTAACCCTGTGAGGGTGATAACAGTATGTTCACTAGAAAATTAAGAAACTCAATTCCAGGCTTGGTGCAGTGGCTCACGCCTGTAACCCCAGCACTTTGGGAGGTTGAGGCAGGTGGAACACCTGAAGTCAGGAATTCAAGACCAGCCTGGCCGACGTGGTGAAACCCTGCCTCTACTAAAAATACAAAAATTAGTCAGGTATGGTGGCACACGCCTGTAATCCTAGCTACTCGGGAGGTTGAGACAGGAGAATCACTTGAACCCGGGAGGTAGAGGTTGCAGTGAGCTGAGATCGTGCCACTGCACTCCAGCCTGGGCGACAGAGCGACTCCCTCTCAAAATAAAATAAATAACATAACATAACATAACATAACATAACATAACATAACATAAATAACATAAAATAACATAACATAAAATAAAATAAATTCATTTCCAAAGAAGTTAAATAAGATCTAACTCTAAATTCATTGTTTATTCAACTACATCTTGTCTCCCACGAAATACTATGTCATAGTGATGACAATTTTATTCATAAATAGTTAACATCAAAAATTGTAGGCAGGCAAGAAAAAAATAAACAGAACATCAAAATGTAAAATGTTTGTGCATCAAAGGACACTGTTAAGAGTGAAAAGACAATTCACAGAATGAGAGAAAATATTTGTAAATCATAAATCTAGTAAGAGATTAATATCCAGAATGTAAAATGAGCTCCTACAACTTAACAACAACAAAAAAACTCCAAGTAATTAAAAAATGGGCAGAAGAATAGGTATTTCTCTAAAGAAGGTATATAGTAAATGGCCAATAAACACATAAAAAAATGTTCAATATCACTAGTCATTAGGGAAATGTAAATTGAAACAACAAAGAGATGCCATTCTATACCCATTAGGATGGCTATTATTAAACAGAAAATTGCAAGGGTTAGCAAGGATGCAGAGAAACTGGAACCCTTTCACATTGTTGGTGGGAATGTAAAACGGTGTGGCCACTGTGGAAAACAGTTTAGTGGTCCCTCAAAAAGTTAAACATAGAACTACCACATGATCCTATATCTAGGTATACACCCAAAAGAATTCAAAGAAGGGACTAAACAGATACTTGTACACAAATGTTCACAACTGCAGAATTCACAAAAGCTGAAATGTGGAAACAACGCAAATGTCCATCTATGGATAAATGGATAAACAAAACTGTGGTATATACATACAATGGAATATTATTCAGCCTTAAAAAAGAATGCAATTCTGATACATACTATATGCAACCTGGATGAGCCTTGAAAATATGCTAAATGAAATAAAACAAGAAAAACACAAAAGAACAAATATATGATTCCATTTATATGAGATACCTAGAAAAGAAAGTAGAATGGAGGTTAACCAGGGTCTGGGGAGAAGAGGAATTTGGGAGTTTACTGTTTATTGATACAGAGGTTCTTGTTTGGGATGATGAAAATGGATAGTGATGATGGTTGCACAACACTATGAATGTACTTAATGTCACTAAACTATATAGTTAGAAACAGTTAAAATGGTAAATTTTGTTATACATATTTTAGCTCAATTAAAACATCTGCAAAAATTTAAATCATGCTGTCTACTACACTTACTACAGCAGAAAAATATTTTAGAGATTTTTTTCAAAAACATATTGAGGCAAAACAAAGCAAAAGGTTTCTTTGTTAATGACAGTGTTTAGCAAAGCGATGTTGTTTTATTAAAATTCGCATTGCTACTGATATAAAGTCTGGTCTTTAATTCAGTCTCTACCTCTTCTATTTAGTTTTTCCAAATTTAAGTCAATAAAAATTTTATTTATTACTATTATTATTTTTTAAAAGACAGGGTCAGCCAGGCGCGGTGGCTCACGCCTGTAATCCTAGCACTTTGGGAGGCTGGGGCGGGTGGATCACCTGAAGTCAGGAGTTCGAGATCAGCCTGGCCAACATGGTGAAACCCTGTCTCTACTAAAAACACAAAAATTAGCTGAGTGTGGTGGCGGGTGCCTATAATCTCAGCCTACTCAGGAGGCTGAGGCAGGAAAATCTCTTGAACCCAGGAGGCAGAGGTTGCAGTGAGCTGAGATTGTGCCACTTCACTCCAGCCTGGGCGAAAGAGCAAGACTGTCTCAAAAAAAAAAAAAAAAAAAAAAAAAAGAAAGGGTCTTGCTCTTTTGCCCAGGCTGGAGTACAGTGGTCAGTGGTGTGATCATATCTCACTGCAACTTTGAAAAATCCCCCTACCTCAGCCTCCTGAGTAGCTAGGACAACAGGTGTGAGCCACCGTGCCCAGTCAATAGACATTTATGAAACTCTTCTACTTTTTAAATAAAAAGAATTTTGATTGAAAATGACTACCCTCAAGGTTGGTTTAAGGTGTTATACCTTGTAATAATCCAAAATAAGTGAAAGGAAAAAATATATTTGTTGCATTTTAACAAAATCTATGAAAATGACCATCATTTCCCACCTTTATAACAGATAAAAGTTATATACTTCCAGATTTCTCTGTCAGAGTAAACAATATAAAACCAGCATAAACAACACATACTGAGAACTATTACCATTCAACTGACAAAACCTAATTACTTGGAATGAAAAAGATAAATCTTTGACATACTTCTCTACAAGCAGGAACAAATGCTAGAGCCCCTCATGTAAGGAATGTTTACAGAATCAGGGCAAGATGTGGACATCATATGCAATGTTAAAGACAGAGGCATATTGTTATATTTTTTGTATAAACTGTTATACCCTCAAATATTTCATTCAACTGCTTTTGCTAAGCATTTCGATTAGTTGGTGTGGAAGTATGACAAACAATGAAGGCAGAAATGAAGACAATGAAGGCAAGTACCATGTGCAGCTTAGTTCACCGTTTGTAAAACAGGAGTATTATTTGTACTGTTCAACACAGTTAAGTTGGGCTCAAAGCGTCCTCCTACTTGGGTAATAAAATTTGGCCCAAAAAGCCAGGTGCACTGGCTCACACCTGTAATCTAGCACTTTGGGAGGGTGAGGTGGGAGGAGCTTGAGCTCAGGAGAGACCAATCTTGTCTCTACTAAACAAAACAAAACAAAACAAAACAAAACAAAAACCCTCTGTATATGGTGAACTGCAACCTGGCTTGATGTGCAAACAAGTTCTAACCTAATCAAAGAGTATATCCTCTTAACCAATCAACTGAGTCTCAGCCAATCACAGGAGCCCAACCCTCAACCAATCCCAAACAGAAGGCTGCCAAATTATGCCCAAATAAGGCAAACTCAGAACTGCACCAATCAGGTAATCTCTGTATGTCATTTCCTATTGCAAATATAGGTCACCAGGATGTAGAACATCTTCCTCAAGTTCTAGAATCTTTTTCTTGCTCAAATTACCTTTGTTAAATTTAACTGGTCTCAGGTTTTTGTTTTTGTTTTCAACAATATTGATCACATTCTAATTTCCTTGGTATCATGTCATAATTTTGGCAGTACCTAATGGCAAAATATTTCAGGTTAGAATTGTAAAAACTGTTTATTTCCAAAGAGTGCAAATATACACATATCAAGGATATTCAGGTCTAAATTACTAAAACAGCAAACACTGAAAACACCCAAATAGCTATCAAACTGGGATTCGCTAAATATATTAAAGTACACACCCTGTTAAATATTACGTAGCTACTAAAATGAATGAAGTAGATCCATAGTTCCTGATAAGAAAATGTTTAAGATTTCTCAAGTGAAAAGCAAAGGCAAGTTGCCAAAATGAAAGAATTATTTTAATAAATAACTAAAAATTTAAAAATCAGAAAAATTAGACTGCATGTGCACCAAAATATAAAGGAAAACATCCATATTCATTCACACACTGGAGAAAAAAATTTTAAATAATGATTACCTTTATAAAACAAAAAATGTAACTGCGTAAACATTATTATAGTAATAAAGGTAAAGAAAATGACAAAAATCCAACCACAATACTGCCACTCCAACTCAGAGAGCTGAACTGTCCTTATGTAAAAATTCACAGATAATGCAGTGGCAATTTTTCATTCTAATGAAAAAAATTATAACATTTACCATGTTTTACAGTCTTCAAGTTATCTAGCATGTATCTTTAAAGTACATTAATATTTTTACATCTTACTGTGTACTATCAAACTGCTTTCATAAAGTACATACCAACCTATTCCTACTTTTCAGAGGAAAATGCTAGTAAAGTAGTATATTCACATGCTAGGACTACGGGTACAATTACATGAACTACTGCTGAATAAGGCTTACTTTTAAGCTTTTGACCACAAACACTATCTCAGTCTGCTTAAGTACACTCCAAATATCTCCATTGTTTATTTCAATTATAATAGCAATATTTTTTAAAGTGCATCTTATGTTCTAGGCTCCATGCAAAACACTTGATAGTCTGCTCTTATTCATTAAGCAACAATACTTTTCTTTAAAACTATGCACAACAGAAAGCTTTTAAAACAAGCAACTATTTTCACAAAGGTACAGGAGTTTTCATTTTTGTATCAGTGTGAAAAATAATGCTTCTAACATTAAGTGGGTGGCATGGTTAAGCATTCACTAAAATATAGAGATTGTGCAATTTCTTGAAACATTTCACTATGACTTAATCATTATAAACACTGTGACCTTGTAAATCAAACATTCACATCCATATGTAACTAGAATTCTCTGTGGCTTCAAACTGCTGCATGAGTTCAGATAACAGAAAATGATTTGTTTCTGAAACTCAGGATGGCAAATTGGTCTCAAGGGGATATGTATGGGGGCAGGTACAAAAAGAGCAATGCAGTAAAACTGGCTAAAGACACAATGTGCAGAATTTCATTTGTCAATTTGATTACCTATTTTTATCTAGAGGATACATCTATTTTAGAGGTCCCAAAGTAGCAGAAAAGAACATGAAGAACACTTCGGAAAATAACAAGCACAAAAGGTGGCCATCATGAACTTAAGAGCCCTTTACAAGTCCTGAATTAAAACGTTCAGTTATAAAAACTGTACAAGAATGCATACCAAGAGTGACCCCTAATGCAAACTACTGACTCTGGGTGATGATAATGTGTCGATGTAGGTTCATGAAATGTAACAAATGTACCACCCTGCTGGTGCTGGCGAATGTTGATAATGGTAGAGCTGCACAAGTGTGGAGGTATATGGGAACCCTCTGTACTTTCTGTTCAATTTGGCTGTGAACCTAAAACTGCTCTAAAAATAAAAATTAAAAAAACTGTTCAACCTGAAATTCACTGGGGCTTTTTTTGGAAAGCAATCCTATCATCTTTAAAACTATGATTGTTTCATCAATGTAAGAAAGAACAGGAACTGTTTTTGAGACAATCTCAAAAAATGCCAATATTTTCACAAGCAAATATTCATTTTGTTGCTCCAAATCAAGTGTTATGGCAAAACTATGGAGTCAGTAAAAAGATCAGTGGTTGCCACACTTGGGGACAGGGGTGGTAGAGGAATGGCTAGGCCGAAGAGAGGATTTTTACTCTTTATGATACTATATTGGTGAACGCATGTGGTGGCACTCCTGTAATCCGAACACTTTTGGAGGCCGAGACGGGAGGATTGCTTGAGGCCAGGAATTTGAGACCAGCCTGGGCAGCATGGTGAAACCCCATCTCTACAAAAAAACAACAAAAAATTAGCCAGGTGTGGTTCCACACACCTGTGGTCCCAGCTACTTGGGAGGCTGACGTGAGAGCATCCCTTGAGCCTGGGAAGTTGAAGCTGCAGTGAGCCATGATGGCGACACTGCACTCCAGCTTGGGCAAGAGTGAGATACTGTGTCTAAATAAATAAATAAATAAATTTATTTGTCCAAGCCCATAGAGAATGAACACTAAGAGTGAGCACTAATGTAAACTACTGACTGGATGATAGTAACATGTCAATGTAGGTTCATCAATTTTAACAAATGTACCACTCTGGTGAAGGATGTTCATAATGGGGAGGCTATGCACGAGTGGGGTCAGGAGGTAAACGGGATATCTTTGTACCTTCCTCTCAATTTTGCTGTAAAACTAAAAATGCTTAAAAAAAAAAGTCTTAAAAAGAAAATCAAGAGTTAAGATGTACAGAATTGAGTGTCAGATGACTGAAGTTTTGGTCCCAGTTTAAAGTCTTACCCCTCCTCTATGCAATGAGGAGACTGAATTAGACAATCCGTGTCTTCTACCTCTTAATTTCTTGTTCTTAATCCCAATCTTTGAAGTGCACACAAAATGTTACCAGAATACTCTGTGCCATAGCTGCATACCAAAAGTAGTAAGTAGAGCCCAGAGCTATCAAAATGTTCTAGTAAATGAAGCTAATTTGGTAAGTTTTTCAAATGTTTTAGAGGAATGTTTCAACCAAAACGTTTTTTCAGTAATATGAAACATTTTAGGTCTGTATATGAAACTGCATCCAAGGTCAGGTGATCTCTAAACATTCAAGGCCCAAGGGTATTAGAAGAGCCCAAAATACTCAAACACCTAAGGATGCTCCTATGCTGAAATGGTGTTATGCTACATAATTTCAACGCCATGACAATCAAGATAGCACAACAAAGTCTCACCTACAGCCAGGAGAAAGAACAACCCGCTATCTTGTAATCAAGATTCACTACCACAGTGGTTCCTAGACATTTTCCATTATAAAGACTATACAGAACTACAAAGTTTTTAAGATGGTGAAATGGTTTGGATCTGTGTCCCCGCCCAAATCTCATGTCGAATTGTAATCCCCAATGTTGGAGGTGGGGCCTGGTGGGAGGTGACTGGATCATGGGGGCGGAGTTCTCATGAATGGCTTAGCATCCTCCTCTCCCCAGCACTGCATAGAGATGATTTCTCAACAGATGCGGTTGTTTAAAACTGTGTAGCAACTCTCCCCGTCCCTCTCTTGGTCCCGCTCCTGCCATGTAAGACGCCTGCTCCTGCTTTGCCTTCCACCATGAGTAACAGCTCCCTGAGGCCTCCCCAGAAGCAGATGCCGCTAAGCTTCCTGTACAGCCCATAGAACCGTGAGCCAATTAAACACTTTTCTTTATAAATTACCCAGCCTCAGGTTTTTCTTTATAAAAGCCATGCAAGAACTGGCTACTACAGATGGCAAGTGTCATCATTTCGTAAATGTTAAGTCTCCTTTGGTGTGAGACACACACAGCTTGCAAATAATTGTTGAATAAAAAAGCGAGTTCAAGAAACGTAGCACATTCGTTTTACGTGCATTTTCCTCATTTTGCTACTCAGTGGCTAAAACTTTGTCACAGGCAAGCCCAGAAATTGTCAGGCTGCAACCTAAGCTTATTGTTATTTCATTATGTTTACTACTCATTCAATCTGATTCATAACCTGAGTTTTTCAGCCCCCTCCCCGCCCCAGCGGTCTAGAATACTTTCCTCCCATCTCCGCTTCTCAAAAGCACCTTTTCTTTTGAATGCCTTTAGAATCTCTAACAACTATCAAGGACCATTTCCTACTCTTTCTGCTGTAAGTTATTTATGCATCTCTTTTATCTCATTCACTAGAGTAATAATTTTCATGCCCAGTACTCGCTCACACATCTTGCCTTTTGTGATTTCAATTAATCTGTAAGGTTGTAGATAATAATGATCCCCTTTTATAAACGACGGCACAGAGAAGAAAAGTAACTTGTTCTAGGTCACCCAACTTCCGACGGAACAAAACTGACATTCCAGTTTTGTGTTGGACTCGAAAGCCAACTATTTTCACGCCATTCATTCCCTCACAGTGTCTATGGGGGCCAGGTCCTACAGGGCGCTGGAGACACGAAAGCAAATGCTGCCATCCCATTTTCAAACGGGAGCCTGCTTGTCGCTAAAACCAGGCGCGCTGCTGGCTCTCCGGCACAGGGACCGCGTCGAGGCCTCTGTGCCTCCCTCCCACTTGGGTGCGCAGGAGAGGGGTGCGGACCTGGGGCGGCCGATACCAAGGGGCGGGTGAGTCGGATGCGTCCAAGGGCCTAAGTCTTCGGAGTTACATGGCGGGGCCAGGTGTGGGGGGGGTTCCCCGAGCCCTCGCGGTTCTAAGTGGGCACTGGGGGCCCGCGTACAGCAGGCAAGAGTGCAAACCAGCAGCGCCAGAAAGAGCGACGAGGTGAGGGAAGAAAAAAGGGGCGGGCAAGAGAGAGCTGGGAACCCTAAAGCGCCAACTGCGTGCGCGGCGCACGCGCATCTGGGATCGGCGGAGGGTGCTGGGTCTCCAGGCCCCACGTCTGAGGGCTGCCGCTTGCCCTCCGGCCCGGCCGGGAACAGCGAGGGTTCTCGCTGTCCTGCCGCCGGGCCCTGCGTCGCCCCACTGTTTTCCCGGCTGAGTACTCACCACCCGATTGTCCCGCTTCCCCATGGTGCTGGATCGAGCGCACAGTAGCACGCCGAGGGAAACCGGGCCGGAGAGACTGCCGAAGAGGGCCTGCCGCAGGTCCTCTTGCCGCCTCCCCACTCCGCCTAGAGAGCGGCACCACGCGGACTCGACGGCCGCGCTCTGCTACAGCGCCCCCTATCTCTGTGGAGGACAGGCCGGCTCCAGAGATCGCTGCAGTTGGCGGAGCGCCTGCAGGAGTCCGGTCGTTCATTAGGCACCCAAGAGCAGGCGACGCTGCGCTTCTGCACCGGAGCCCCACCAAGGCAGCTCGCTTCAGTTTGGCCTTGGATTGTTTTGCTTTCTTCCATTCTTTTTTTTTTTTTTTTTTTTTTTTTTTTTTTTAGACAGACTCTCGCTCCGTCGCCCAGGCTGGAGTGCAGTGGCACGATCTAGGCTCACTGCAGCCTCCACCTCCCGGGTTCAAGCGATTTTCCTGCCTCAGCATCCCGAGTAGCTGAGATTACAGGCGGCCGTCAACACGCCGGGCTAAATTTTTTGTATTTTTAGTAGAGACAGGGTTTTACCACGTTGGCCAGGCTGGTCTATAACTCCTGACCTCAAGTGATCCGCCCGCCTCGACCCAAAGTGCTGGGATTACAGGCATGAGCCACTGCGCTTGGCCTTTCTTCCATTCTTGATACACTGAAATACTCATTCGAGGGGACACAAAGATTCTCCCGATGCTTATTTTGTGCTTGACAGAGTGCAAGTGCTGGGGACAAAGTGAGGACCAAAGAGCCTTGGTCCCTCACGGAGCCCATCAGCTGGTGGGGGGAAAGGCAGTGCTGTCATAGACGCTGCTAACGAAATCACCCTTTAATTTCAATCCCATTCATTCATCACCTGTGCATTCATTTCACACTAATTTTTGAACATGTAGTTTGTACAGTTTTCACTAACTGGGTGGCTGGAAGCTGGAGCTGGGTAGGGCACAAAGATGATTAAGAAAAATCCCTATCGTCAAGGAGCCTGTTTATAAACTCGTAAGGGCAATAAACACACACAGGGCCAACTTTACTGCATAGCATATCGTAATATTGGCACTACTGCACTGCAACTTTAAGGAAGATGATCTGGGCTCCAGAGAAGATAATCATATTTAGTAAGTATTTATAGATAAAGCGACCCCTCTGGGTTCATCTTAGCAAGTATCATTAGGAAGTAGTTGAAAATCAATTAGGATCTTCTCCGGACTCTTGGAAATGGCAAAATGGGAATTACACTAATTACATACAAGAACATGCTTTAAAATCATCTTTCCCGATCTCTGCCTCCCTCCCTCCCTGCATTTTTCATGCTACACTATATGACAGATGCTCCCAACTACCATCTTCTGTCTCAAAACTTTTCCAAACTCTCACATGCAGTCCTTGGTGGTTCTGCTCCCTACTAAGTGTTGATTCTTCCTCAGTAACCCACTTTCCAAAATGAGGCCTCCAGTCTCTCATTTCTCCTCCTCCTCCATTACCCCCGACTTAAGCTGGGGACTCTGACTGAAGACAGGCTTCTTTTTATACACAAGAGGAAGAGGAGAACCTATTAATATTAAGTTATTCTTTCTTTCCTGGCTTATTTTTCATGTTTTAAATATTCTAGGCATTTGACAGATATTATTTTTAATACTCCAACATGATAAGCATGATAATACCTGTGAGAGAATATAGTTTTTTTTTTCCCTCTTCAGCTCCTTCTTACCTTTCACTTCCTTGGTTGGCTGATTGTACAGAACACAGAGATTTTTAAAAATATGGTATAAGTCAACAGAAAGGTTGTGTTTCCTTTAGAAGTCTCTCTCTCTCTGCGAGTGTACACAACCCCTCCTGGATGAAACGTGAATCCCTGGGGGGACAGAGAAACAAGAAAATGACCAGGGGCCTGTGAAGATAAGGAAGATGGCAAGAGCTATCGGGAGCTCATCTGAGTGGACTACATAAAGAACAAATCAGTCCAAGACTTCTCAGGATATAATTCAGTGACAGTAGAAATCTTTACACATTCTCTGCACATGTGTGATCTGCTAATAAATACATTTCTGTCCTAGCAGTGGGCCTACATGCCCTCCCGAATGTTCTAGGCATAACCAGGAGATTACATTCCATTTTGTGGATGAGAAAAACCGAGGCGAAGGGAAGCCGAGTAATTTGTGCCAGCTTCCACAGCAAGAAAGCAGAGAAGCTGGGGATTCAAACACAGGTGTGTCAAACATGAAAGCATTTACAAGATGCAGTCTCTATTAAATACACACATAGACACACAGGCACGCGTAGACACACACACACACACACACACACACACCCACCCACACCATGAAAGCATATGCTTTCCTTACAAAATCACACTGCCTTTGGGAGGGGAGAGAAGAGAGGGAGGATTGAGAAGTGGCATTTCAGGTGGATTGTGACCCTGGGCCAGCTTCCCTCAGAGGAACTGAGAGGGAAGGACATTACAGAGGGAATAGCCCGCGTAAAAGGAGTGGTGATGTGGTCAGGTTTGGCAGCATAGAACACTTATGATAGAAGGGAACAAGGCTGGAAAGGTACACTGGGCCTGGAGGCAAAGGACCTCGAATGCCAAAGGAAGAAGTTATATTTTATTCTGCAGGCAGAGCCTTTTTTTTTTTTTTTTTTTTTGAGATAGAGTTTTGCTCTGTTGCCCAGGCTGGAGTACAGTGGTGAGATCTCGGCTCACTGCAACCTCTGCCTCCTGGGTTCAAGCGATTCTCCTGCCTCAGCCTCCCAAATAGCTGGGATTACAGGCATGCACCACCACACCCAGCTAATTTTTGTATTTTTAGTAGAGACAGGGTTTCACTATGTTGGCCAGGCTGGTCTCGAACTCCTGACCTCAGATGATCCACCCTCCTCGGCTTCCCAAAGTGTTGGGATTACAGGCATGAGCCACCACACCCAGCTGTAGAGCCTTTTAAAAATTAATATTATTTTAATTGACAAATCACTGTATACATTTATGGAGTACAATATGATATTTTGTTATATGTATACAATGTGGAGTGATTAAACAAATTAACATATCCATCACCTTGCCTACCTATTTTTTTTATGGTGAGACATTTGAAACTTACTCTTGGTTATTTTGAAATATATGATACATTATTATTGACCATAGTCACCCTGCTGTGCAGTAGATCTCAAAACTTATTGTTCTTGTCTATTTAAATCTTTGTACTTTTTGATCCGCAGCTCCCACTTCCCTCCCTTCCCACTCCTCCAGCCCCTGATAACCAAATTTTACTCTCTACTTCTATGAGTTCAGCCTTTTTAGATTCCACATATAAGTGAGATCATGCAGTATTTGTCTTTCTGTGCCTGACTTATTTCACTTAATATAACATCCTCCAGATCTACCCATGTTCTTGCAAATGAGATAAAGCTGTTTAAGCAGGGTAGTAACATAAGCATTGATAAAAGGCAAAGCTGTAAATAGTAACAGTCTAATAATAATAATAATTCTCTGGGGCAGGATTTTTCAGCTTGAATAACAAAGATTATAACTCAGGTGGCATCTTTAGCGATGAACTTGGGTCTATATCCAAATTAAACAATATAGTGGATTGTCCTATATATTTTTCTTTTTCTTTTTTCTTTTTTTTTTTTTCTTGAGACAGAGTCTCGCTCTGTCACCCAGGCTGTAGTGCAGTGGTGAGATCTCAGCTCACTGCAACCTCTGCCTCCCGTGTTCAGGTGATTCTCCTGCTCCAGCCTCCCAAGTAGCTGGGATTACAGGCACACGTCACCACAATGCCTGGCTAATTTTTGTATTTTTAGTAGAGATGGGTTTTCACCTTGTTGGCTAGGCTGGTCTTGAATTCCTGACCTCAAGTGATCCGCCCGCCGCGGCCTCCCAAATTGCTGGGATTACAGGCATGAGCCACCAAGCCCAGCCTGATTTTCCTATTTTTTTTTGTTATTGTTGTGTGGGTATTTGAGATTTTAAACAATGGTGAGAGATACAGAAACTCAACCCACAAACCCAAGTATGTTGTTTTGGCATGCATGTCACTAGACTGGAAATGAAAACATGGAGCTTTTGTGTTTGAAGACAACAGCCGTTGTGTTTATCCAACTATATTAAATGACAGAGCAAAAGACAGGAAACAAGTTAAATATCCATCAAAAGGGTTAAAGTATGGTATGTCCATGTAATGGCAAATTATGCAGTTATTTAGAAAGTGATGTAGAGCTGTATGTGTTGATAGGGAAAAATGGCCACTATACATTATTATTAAGTGAAAAAGAGAATTATAAAGAGTATGAGTAGGCCGGGCACAGTAGCTTACACCTGCAATCTCAGCACTTTGGGAGGCCGAGGTGGGTAGATTGCTTGAGCTCAGGAGTTGAAGACCAGTCTGGGCAACAGGGCAAAATCTCATCTCTATAAAAAATTAGCCGGGGTTGGCGGTGCATAATGGTCCCAGCTACTTGGGAGGCTGAGGTGGGAGAATTACCTGAGCCTAGGGAGGTTGAGGCTGCAGTGAGCTGTGTTCATGCTACTGCACTCCAGTCTGGGTGACAAAGTGAGAACCTGTCTCAAGAAAAAAAAAAAAAAAAGAATGTGAGTATATAGAGTATGGCAGTATGTGCAGCAAGAGGATGCATTGGTTGAGCCTTATGAAATTGCCGACATGCAGTAATTTCTAACCTATGAGAATGGCAATTTCATATGGTTCAACTTTTTACGTACGTATGCTTGAAATCTTCATTGCTGGATACTTCATAATGGTATTAGTGAGTTTAGAGGGCAGGTATAGGAATTTTTATTTTCCACCATATTCCCTTCTTTCTGATTTATTTTATTTTATAGGACTGCTCAGCTAATCAACTCCCCTTGCTCCGATTCCACACTCACCATTTAACTTCTGGATGTAATTTTGCCTACATGCAGAGAAAATGATCACCAGCAAACGTGATCATCTTGTGCTCCTGACAACTATATTTCTCGCTGTAAAAAATATAAAAAGGATGTTTTTAAAAAAGGATTTGGATCATGAAAACCAAATAGACATTCATTTTAATTAATTTTCCGTTTGTAAACCCCAGGTTGAGTACTATTATTGGATAAAGGCAGTGGAAGCTACCAAGTAAAGTGAGTCAGAAAGGAAAGTTTCTGGTGTTCATGAGGGCGCCAACTGAATCAATGGGTTATAATTTCACTGTAATTTTCCTCTCGTTCCACCCTTGTTGAGGTGACTCACAAGCTATAAACATTCTTGGACAATTATTTCAGGATGGCTTTGTTGTTAGCATTGAAAGAAAACATCTTTATTTTTTCTTTTAAAAATCAGCTTTATTGAGGTATATTCCACATCCGGTAAAATCCACCAGTTTAAAATGTTCAGTTTGATGAGTTTTGAAAAATATATATGATCATGTAACCGTGACTACCATCAGGATATCATTTTCCATCTCTCTAGAAAGTTTCCTTGTGCCCTTTTGCAGTTAAACCTATAACCTTGCTAAATTTATTCATTCTAGTAGCCTTTTTTTTTTTTTTTTTTGGTAGAGCCTTTGGAGTTTCTACATAGACACTCATACTGTCTTTGAATAAAGAGAGACTTGCCAGGTGTGGCGGCTCACACCTGTAATCCCAGCACTTTGGGAGGCCGAGGTGGGCAGATCACTTGAGGTCAGGAGTTTGAGACCAGCCTGGCCAACATGGTAAAACCTCGTCTCTACTAAAAATACAAAAATTAGCCGGGCATGGTGGCACATGCTTGTAATCCCAGCTACTTGGGGGCTGAGGTAGATTGCCTGAACCCGGGAGGTGGAAGTTGCAGTGAGCCAAGATCTTGCTACTGCACTCCAGCCTGGGTAACAGAGTGAGACTCCATCTCAAAAAAAAAAAAAAAAAAAAAAAAAAGAGAGAGAGAGAGACTTTACTTCCCTTCTAATCTGTATGTTTTTTGTTTTCTTGCTTATTGCATTAGCTAGCACCTCCAGTACAGTGTCGAATAGAAGTGGTGAAAGCTGACATTCTTGCCTTGTTCTTGATCTTAGGAGGAAAGTACTCTGAGCTTATCAAAGTGTGGGGTCAATATTGTACCAGGTCATACTTCACACCTCACATCTTTTACTTTACACTTAGTACTTTTCATTTCACAGTTAGTATTTTTCACATCCCACTTACTGACCAATTCTTTCTTGAATCCAATCTAATCAGGCTTCTACTTCTACCACCTAATCAAGATTTCTTTTCAAGGTTGCTCATCTTCTCTATGTTGCTTAATCAGTTGCCCCTTATTTTCCTTGACCTATCAGCAGCATTTGTCACAACAATGACTCTCTCCTCCTCAAAAGATTTTTTTTCACTTGGATTTCCAGACACTATGCTCACCTTCTGCTTCTCGTAAAGTCCACTTAGTCTCTGTTGCATATTTTCCTTCGTCTCCTGGGATATAAACACTGGGGCACTGTAGAGCTTGGCATATAAACACTGGGGCACTGTAGAGCTTGGTTCTGGGATCTTTCCTTTTTTTTTTTTTTTTTTTTTTTTTGAGACGGAGTTTCACTCTTGTTGCCCAGGCTGGAGTGCAATGTCATGATCTTGGCTCACTACAACCTCCGCCTCCCGAGTTCAAGCAATTCTCCTGCCTCAGCCTCCCTAGTAGTTGGGATTATAGGCAGGCGCCACCACGCTTGGCTAATTTTGTATTTTTAGTAGAGATGGGATTTCTCCATGTTGGTCAGGCTGGTCTTGAACTCCTGACCTTAGGTGATCCGCCTGCCTCGGCCTCCCAAAATGCTGGGATTTCAGGCATGAGCCAACGCACCCAGCCGGGATCTCTTCTTTTTATAGACACTTTCTTTCTTGTTGATCTCATCCAATCTCTAGCTTTATATGCCATCCATACACTGACAACTTCAAAACTTTTATTTCCAATCTAGACCACTTCCTTGGAATCTAGACTCATGCCTCTAACTGCCTAGTCAACATCCTCACTTCAGTGTCTCATATGAGCTCAAGCTTAACATGTCCAGTGTCCAACTCCCAATATTCTCCCTAAAACCAGGTCCTCCTACATTCTTCCCATCTCAGTAAATGGCAACTTGATCTTTCCACCTGCTTAAGCCAAAAACTTCAGAGACATCCTCACTTTTTTTTTTTTAGACAAAGTCTCACTCTGTCATCCAGGCTGGAGTGCAATGCTGTGATCTCAGCTCACTGCAACCTCCGCCTCCAGGGTTCAAGTGATTCTTGTGCCTCAGCCTCCCAAGTAGCTAGAATTACAGGCGCCCGCCACCACATCTGGCTAATTTTTGTATTTTTTCTTATTAGTAGATGGGCTTTCACATGTTGACCAGGCTGATTTCAAACTCCTGACCTCAGGTGATCCACCTACCTCGGCCTCCCAAAGTGCTGGGATTACAGGCGTGAGCCACCACGCCCAGCCCATCCACGCTTCTTCTCTTTCAATGCCATGTCTAATTTATAAGCACCTACTATAACCTTTACCTTCAAAACATCTTACATCTTGTTGTCTCCATTGTTTTCACTTTGATCAAAGCTACCATTATCTCTCATCTGGATTATTACAACAGCCTCCTAACCCAGGCTCCCCGCTTACATCTTTGCCACCCTAAAGTATTTTCTCAATAGAGCAGTCACAGTGGCTTTACAAACAGATCATATGTCACGACTGTGCTTCTTGCCTTCCGGCAGTTTCCCATCTTATTCAGAGTAAATACCAAAGTCTTTGCATTGGCCAAGAAGCCCCTCCAAGATATGCTTCTCCTGCCACTAACTTCCCTGGAATATCTCCTTTCTTTCTCTTGCAGTTAATTGCTGCTACACTGGCCCCCTTGCTGTTCTTTGGACATGGCAGGCATGCTCCTGCCTTAAGGCATTAGCACCTGTTGTTTTCTTCATCACTAATACACCTAGATTCCTCTTCTCTGTAAGTCCTTTGATCTAGTGTCACCTTCTCTATGAGGCCTTCACTGATCTCCTCGTTTAAAATTGCACCCCCATGACACTTTATATTCCTTTCCTCATTTCTTCCCACACATGTATCTAACATCCTAGTTTACTATAATTATTTATTTGTTGCCCCTCACTAGAAAACAAGCTCCATAAAAACAAGACATTTTGTGTATTTTGTTTACTGCCACATCCCCAGTGCCTAAGGACAGTGCCTGGCACATCACTGTGCTCAATAAATATTTACTAAATGAATCAATGACTAGTTTCACTGCCATATTGACTGGTCTGTTTGTACCTGTACCCACTGTCTTTGCCTGCCCTCCCATTAATCCTTTTCTCTCTCAAATCCAGCTCTTCCTCTTGTTCTCCTGGGCCCTTCCTCTCCCTCTTCTCATTACCTTTGCTTCTGCTGTTATTGCTTCTTTTTCACCCTCAATCTCTCTGTTTCCACAATGGACTGTCTTCCATCTCAGAAAACAAGAATTCTCCTTTGATACCACATCCTCCCTGAGCTCTACCTCCATTTCTCTGTTCTGCTTTATGATTCAGCTTCTCAAACAGGCTGTCTACATTCTCTACCTCTCTAACCTCATCTCTGACCACTCCTCCCCCGACTGACTATGCTCTAGGCTCACTGATGTCTTTTCTACATACCAAGCCTTCCTACCTTGAAGCTTTCAGCTGCTTTCCCCTGAGCACCCCACCTAGCTGCCTTAGTCTCATTCTTCATGCCTCAACTCTTTTGACAGGGCCTTTTCTGACACCAGTTTCCCATCTTCCAGCAGTTTCCCATCTTATTCAGAGTAAATACCAAAGTCTTTGCATTGGCCAATGCAAGTACTTTCTACCTTATAGCAATTTTAGCACTTATCATAATGTAATTATCCTATGCAAATATTTATGTTAGCTCCATGAGAGCAAGCACCTTGTTTTGTTCACTACTGTATTTCTAGGGTTTGCTGGTGCCTGGAACAGAAGTTCATTAAGTGTTGAATGAATGAATGTATGAGTTTCCAGTGATGAGATGACTTAAAGCTAGCTGCTGACATATGCAAATAAATATAAATGCATGCGCAGTACTGCCCTTAGAAGCACTGTTTCTTTCTTCTTCTTCTTTTTTTTTTTTTTTTTTTTTTTTGAGACTGGGTCTCACTCTGTCAACTAGGCTGGAGTGCAGTGGCACAATCATGACTTACTACTTGGACCTTCCTGGCTCAAGCCATCCTCCCACCTCAGTCTCAGGGTCCATGCCACCGTGCCTGGCTTTTTTTTTGTATTTTTTGTAGTGACGGGGTTTCACCATGTTCCCAGGCTGGTCTCAAACCCCTGGGCTTGGCCTCCCAAAGTGCTGGGATTATAGGCGTGGGCCACCGCACCCTCCTTAGAAGCATTGTTTCTAACAGTAAAAAATTGGATATATGGTGGGGAGAAATACCTATCAATAGGGGATTGGGTAAGTAAATTATAGTACATTTACACAATGGCACACTATTCAGCTGTAAGAGAAGTTAATGTAGATTTATATGTATTGCAATGACGAATTGTCCAAGATCTTCTGTAAAGCAACACACAACACTCAAAACACAAGTTATTGAATGGGGTGTACAGCCAGCCCATCATCATAGCGTAAAATTTCATTCCTGTATCTTACATGTATCTGTACAAAGCTAGGTATCTAGAAATTATTTATCAAAATATTAGCAGTGATTTTCTCCAGGTTGTGGAGTTTCAGGTAATATTAATTTTTTTCTTAGTAGTTTTTGTATTCTTTAAATATTTTATGGTAAGTATGTGATGATTTTATTTCAGCAGTTACATTTCAGTCACTTGGCCACTGGAAATTCATCACTAATCCATTCAATACTATTGAACCTCTACTCTGTTTAGGCACCACTAGACCCTAGAGCATGCACTGATATTTCTTTCCTATGTGTTTATATACAACTTCATTTCAGAACTTTTTGGGGCTGACCACACCATCTACTTATTCTCACTTTGGAGGTAAGAATGACTTGATGAAATAAGATAGTTTGTATGGCATGTACCAAATTGGCACTTGGGGAGTTCACTGGATGTCAATTGCTTCCCTTCTCCTCCAGGGCACTATTTTTGCTGCATCCACAGTTAAATAACACTGTATCACAATGCAATCCAAGGAGCAGGAGGGAGGGTCTATTATTACAAACCATCACTGTTGAACCAATGAACTACTGGGTGCCTCTTGATGCTTCTGCCTCCTTGTATCGGATGCTCTTTGAAAGCCGACACCAGTTGTAGACATCCAGTGAATATGGGTAAACTTGACTTTCTTTATCACAGAATAGTTGTCATTTTCAAATGAAGAATCCTGGAGACCAGAGGAGGTACAGCATTTAGAACAACAGACCCCTTTCCAAACAAGTGCCAATGTGTTCTCTTGGCTGCTGTGGTGCTTCTCAAAATTTTCCACAGGAGAGGGAATTGTATCAAGGGGCATCTAGTGGTATCCTCCAATGCAGTTATTAAAGTCAAATAGTATCTTTGAAGTTATCTGTATTTTTTTCATTTTTATAAAAATGGGTTTATTTAAAAATAAATCTATAAAAGTAGAAATACATTGCCTTAAGAATCTGAATTTTGCATTCTATTCCACAGAGTCTCACTCTGTCTCCCAGGCTGGAGTACAGTGGTGTGATCTCAGCTCACTGCAGCCTCTGCCTCCCGGGTTGAAGTGATCCTCCTGCCTCAATCTCCTAAGCAGCTGAGATTACAAACATGCACCACCATGCCTGGCTAATTTTTGTATTTTTAGTAGAGACTGGGTTTCACCACACTGCAGAGCAAACATGGCATCCTGGGACCCATCCCTACCATTAAGAGTGTTTCCCTACAGAACAGGAGGTGCAAATTGGGCTGACATTCCAAAGGGCAAAATCAGCGGCAAACAGCTACTAGGTTCTTAATGTAATGTAATGTAATGTAATGTAATGTAATGTAATGTAATGTAATGTAATGTAATGTAATGTATAGTAGGTTCTGAGTGAGTAATACAGAGATAACTGAAGGAGCTGTTCATACATAGCTTCAAAAAAAAAAAAAAAAAAAGGTCCAGTAGGCCAGACGCGGTGCCGCAAGCCTGTAATCCCAGCACTTTGAGAGGCCGAGGGGAGTGGATTACCTGAGGTTAGGAGTTTGCAACCAGCCTGACTAACATGGTGAAACCCAATCTCTACTAAATACACAAAAAATTAGCCAGGTGTGGTGGTGCATGCCTGTAATCCGAGCTACTTGGGAGGCTGAGACAGGAGAATTACTTGTACCTGGGAGGCGGAAGTTGCAGTGAGCCGAGATCGCGCCACTTCACTCCAGCCTAAGCAATAAGAGCGAAATTCCATCTCAAAAATAAATAAATAAATAAATAAAATAAAAAATAAAGAAAATGGTCCAATCAAACCTGGTTGTAGATGCCTATGGTTTGTGGAAACATGTATCATTATGACTGACCCCTTTATAAACCACAAGTTTTTGATATCTTAATAAAGATCAAATTCTTGACCCTTTATATTACCTCATGAATATTTTTTAAAGAGTTTTAAAATTTAAAATTTAAAGTTTAAAAATCTAAATGGTTATGATCCAGATATTTGAGGGCCACTGTCCCAGGCACAGTCTCACCAGCCTCCTGGGCATGGTGGCTCATGCCAGCACTTAGGGAGGCCAAGGCAGGAGGATCACCTGACCCCAAGAGTTTGAGACCAGCCTAGGCAACATAGTGAGACCCTGTCTCTACAAATAAGAATAATAATAATTAGCCAGGAGTGGTGGTTCCTGCCTGTAGTCCCAGATACTTGGGGGGTGAGATTGTGCCACTGCACTTTAGTCTACGTGCAGAGTAAGATCCTGCCTCAAAAATAAATAAATAAATAAAATTTAAATGCAATTTAGGACCTATAAAAAAATAAAGGCAAGTCCTAATGGGAGCTTCTAGGGAATTCTGGAAGTCCAATTTAAATACAGTATACCTGATATTATATACGAAGAGAGGAATATATGTATCAGTGACAATGATCCCCCTTTTGGTTTATTGTGTAGTATCTCGGGAGCTGCTTGATCTATTCCTCCCTCTGCCTCCAGTACATACATAGTTGAACAAAAATTAACAGAAATAATCTCCTTCTTTAAAGTCCTTCTGTGGTTCCAAGCTCCTTTACATGGCCTATATGACCTTACCTCCTGACTCTCCTTCACATACCCGCCTCTTTTATCAATAATTTTCAAACTGTAAGTCATGGCCTATTCATGTGATTGTGAAATCAGCTTTAGTCACTAGTTATTTTCAGAGTAGTAGATAACAAAACAGAAAAGAGAATGTGTGGACCACATAGCATCATTTTGTAAAATGTAAGTTTGAACAAATATGGCCTTCCGGGAGCCATCCACATAAGGAGTTCTTCCCTAGACAACAGGAAATGTAAATTGGGATGACAGTCCAGAGGGTAAAATCAATGGCAAAAGGCTACTAGGCTTTTTTAATGCAATGTGGTCCTAAGTGAGTACCAAATACCAGAGATAACCAAAGGAGCTGTTTGTACACAGCTTCAAAGAAAATGATCCAGCATATATGTGTGTGTGTGTATGTGTGTGTATGTGTGTACCAGCTCATGCTGGCAGATTCTATTTCTTTCTCTAGGTTATGATCCAGATATTTGAAGGCCACTGTCCCAGGCACAGTCTCACCAGCCTCCTCACCTTCCCTGCCTGCTCTTTCATAAAACTACAGGCCTCTACATGGGCAAAGTATTTCTCCTCATGAAACTGGAAATCATTGCTCTTTGTTTTTGAGTCCCCTTAAGCATGATTTCCAAGGTGAAAACTTTGCTCATCTCCAGGTGATTAGCAATTAGTTACACAAACCTTTTTCACAGCCCCTTCTCTTCCTGTAAGCTCCTGAAAGGACTGTCCATTGCCTTACTCATTTTTGTAACTTCAGTGCTTAGCACAGTCAACTAATGAGGGTTCAATAAATACAGTCATGCACTGCATAATGATGAACTGAATATATAACGGTGGTCTGGTAAGATTATAGTGGAGCTGAAAAATTCCTATTGCCTAGTGATGTCACAGTGTAACACATGACTCACATTTGTGATAATGATAAATGGCTGTTACTGATTTATGTATTTACTATACTATACTTTTAATCATTGCTACAGAGTGTACGCCTACTTATAAAAAAAGTTAACTGTAAAACAGCCGGAGGCATGTCCTTCAGGAAGTATTTCAGAAGGCACTATCACAGGAGATGACAGCTCCATGTGTGTTATTGCCCCCTGAAGTCCTTCCCGTGGGACAAGATATGGAGGTAGAAGACAATGATATTGATAACCCTGACCCTGTGTAGGCCTAGGCTAATGTGTGTGTTTGCATGTTAGTTTTTAATGAAACAGTTTAAAAATTAAAAAAAAAACTAAAAATAGAAAAAATCTTATAGAATAAAGAAAATATTTTTGTATAGCTGTGCAATGTGTTTGTGTTTAAAAATAAAGTGTTATTATAAAAGAGTCAATCATGCCCCTGAAATCCCAGCTACTTGGGGGTAGGGGACTGAAGTGGGAGGATAGGTTGAGCCTGGGAGGTGGAGGCTGCAGTGAGCCATGATTGTGCCACTGTACTCCAGCGTAGGTGACAGAGTGAGACCCTGTCTCAAAAAAAAAAAAAAAAAGTCAAAAAGTTAAAAAAATTAAAGTTTATAAACTAAAAAATTTACAGTAAGCCAAGGTTAATTTATTATTAAAGAAAAAATTTAAAATAAATTTAGTGTGACCTAAGTGTACAGTAAAGTCTACAGTAGTGTAATGTCCTAGGCCTTCACATTCACTCACCACTCACTGACTTATCCTGAGAAACTTCCAGTCCTGAAAGCTCCATTCAGTGTAAGTGCCCTTTGCAGGTGTACCATTTTTTATCTTTTATACCATATTTTGACTGTACCTTTTCTATGTTTAGATACACAAATACTTAACAATGTGTTACAATTGCCTACGGTATTCAATACTATACAGGTTTGTAGCCTAGGAGGCTTAGGCTACACCATCTAGTCTAGGTGTGTATTTGTGTAAGTACACTCTATGATGTTCTCACAACGATGAAATCCCCTAACAATGCATCTCTCAGACTGTATCTCAGTCATTAAGCAACGCATGATTGTTGAATGAGTTCTTTTTTTTTTTTGAGATGGAGTCTTGCTCTGTTGCTTAGGCAGGAGTGCAGTGGCGCCATCTTAGGTCACTGCAACCTCCACTTCCCAGGTTCAAGTGATTCTCCTGCCTCAGTCTCCTGAGTAGCTGGGATTACAGGCGCGTGCCACCATGCCCGGCTAGTTTTCATGTATTTTTAGTAGACACAGGGTTTCACCACGTTGGCCAGCCTGGTCTTGAACTCCTGACCTCTGGTGATCTGCCTGCCTCGGCCTCCCAAAGTACTGGGATTAAAGGCATGAGCCACCGTGCCCGGCCAATTGTTGAATGAGTTCTAAGCTCACTTAGCTGTTATTTACTTTTTAAACACTAGAAGCCTGAAAAGGAATCTCTTAAAGTAAAACTTTAAAACACATTCTTTCTACCACATGGCCAGGTTGCAAATAAGAAGCACCAAAAAAAAAAAAAAAAAAAAAAAAAGAAAGAAAAAAAACACATTCTGCTAAAACTTGGAATTTAATGAATTTTACTCACTACAGTTATACTCATTTTACATTAAAGTAAAAAAGAAAATAGCCAGGAGAGTAATTCATCTCCAGAAAGCAGTTTAAAGTTATTGTTTTTATTATTTTTATTTGCTACCAATATTTTTATTGTAAGAAATACAAAAGGTATTACAAATATACAAACTATTTGCTCTTTTTGCCTCATTCAATTTAGCTTTCACATAAGTGAACACATTGGACAGTGATATTTCAACACCAATTTTGAAAAAAACAATGAACTTCATCATCTGACAATAAATACCTACATTTTCATTCTAGCACCCAGTAAGACATCCAGTTTCCAAAGGATTATTGGTATGCAACCCTCTGAATTTTCTGACATGTTACCTTTGCCACTGCAACAGAAACACCACTGCAGTTCTCCCTTTCCCAATAAGTCAGAGTAAGGGGCAGGTAAGAATGGCTATCTGACTTCAGAAACCCTGGGTCACAAAGCATCCCTTACTTGAGCTACTTTTAAAACCAGATTTTTAATGATAGGGTACTTAAAGTTTTGGTGGTCCTTGAATGACATATTTTACGTTACATATTTACCCTACTTTTCTATTCTCCTCCTCAGATAGGAAGGGTATAGATAAACTGGCTATATTTTCATCTGCCTCTTGGGAAAGGAGCAAGAGCATTCAGCTCAGAGCATTCTGAAGACAGTAGCCTTAGAGATAAGCTTTCTTTCTTTCTTCTTCTTTTGCTTCAAGAGGGCTTTCTGTGTGTAATGGAGGGATGGTTGCTAGAGTGAGACAGCCCTTCCCCTCTTGCTATGTCTATACCATACCTGAGGCCATTTTTCTTAGAGGGCAAAAACGTTAGAATAGGTAGGAAGGTTCTTGCTTTCAGAGAGCTGTGCTGCACCCACAGGGTGGACCCGACAGGCCACTGTGGTAACTCTCAATCTGTGTACAGAGAAAAGAGAAGCAACATCTGATACAAAGTCACCTGCCAACATTCTTATAAGACTGTGTCCCAGGCAGTGAATTTCCACACTGCTTCTTGGGTCTGCAGAACTCAAAGCACCAAAACAGAGCATTCTGTAGCAATATAAGCAAACGGAATAAGAATAATTATGCACCTTTAAGGAACATGCACCCTTATAAGTCTGTACCCTGATATGAAAATAGCAGAATGAATTTCAAGTATGAAGAAATACAGTAAAAGTGTGGCCTGTAGATGGAGAGAAAACAGCAGCCTGGAATGTGGTTTATATTCTTGATTAGTTTTTCTCTTGGTACCACAGCCAAAACTGAATGCTCTGTACAATGACTTGGTTTAAAAATCAAGATGCATACAAAGATGCTAGAGGCATTTCTAATGGGTGCCATGAGCACAGTCTGTGCCCAGCATCAGGAACCATCTCTAGATGAATGTGGCTAGGTCAAGTTGGGAGTGGTGGCCAGGCCTAGACAGGCACACCTGTGGTCCATGATGTGGAGGAAGATGGAGAGCACCATGTGGACAAGCCAGGATGGTAGCAGGGAACACTTTAGTGGTAGAAAGGAAGAGATACAGGGGACAGAGATGTAGAGGTGTGGGGATGTTGGTCATCTTGGGCTGGTTCACACAGCCTAGATGAGTATCTGATATACACAATTTCTACATTTCTAGAACCATGATTTCAAACACAGAAACTAACAAGTCAAATTTCCAAATTAGATTTTTTTTTTTTACTTTCAAAACATTTTCTATTATAAGTCAGAAGGAAAAAAGCTTACTGTATGTGACAGTCTTCCTGAAACCTAAGAGAAAGTTTTAACCAGGCCCTATGGCAATGCAGAAACACTAATACATTTTACAGTGAAAACCTACTTTAACACATCTCAAAATGATAATCGTATAAAACTTTCTAGTTCTAATTTGCACTCTACGTGAACCAATATTTTTCTTTTCTTAACACATACTGCTCTTCTATACCAAACACTTGCCCTTTAACCTTCAGATAAAAACCTCAAATACCAAAAAATGCAACAAGCTTTTGAGGTGTTGGGAATTGTTGGTTGTTAAAATCCCTTTTATTTTATAATAAATTATACAGGCAATCCTTGCTTTTTATTACCACACTGGATTGCTTCTGTACACAGCTAAGTTGCCTGAAGCATGGAAACTTGGACTTCTCCATCTGACACGTTCTGGAAGCCTCAAGGCACAAGCTGACAGTTCTGCTTCTACAGAAAAACTCTCACACTGCTCTCCTCTCAACAGTACTGCCTGTTCCCACTACTCCACATGACACCTACGAGGGCACTACATCACGTGAGGGAAGCTTCTTCATGAGGGCAGACAAGAGGAGGCACCACCCAGGCACTGGTCTCTGCCTGGCATCTATTCCGAGGGCCACCTGGCACAGTTTCTAAATTAAGGCATATCTAAAATGCTTTTCTACCTTTAGTTTTTATTTTTGCTATATTTTTGCACTCTACTATATGCATATTTAATAAAAACAACTACAAAGTCCTTTACTTTAATTCCTTTACATAATGATAAAACACCTAGATACCCAAAATACTACATCTATATATTCAAATCTACTAATCATGTTACAAATGCATGCAGCTTATTTGGGGGCTTAGTCTAATTTTTATTTTCTTAGGTCCATCAATACCATGATAATGAACATTAGATGCAAAATCCTAACACTTTCTGCCTTCAGTTGTACTTTCACAGGACTAGTGTGATTCAGAAATAAATAACATACATGAATAATAATAGAAATAATTTATGCAAATGTAGAACAACTTGAAAAAAAATCCCCCGCCTGTCAGGTGCTGTTCCTGGGGGTAGCTGATGCTATAAATTCCATGTACTAACTAATATATTTACTACAGGTAATAGGAAAACAAATGAATAAAAAGTGAGGAACTATGATATACATGTGTATATTTTTGCAAACACAGGATCAGAATGAAAAGATATATCATGCACTGTGAGGTTTAAGAAATGTATTACTGCTGGGATTTGTTTTATTATTCAGACTTTAAGATCAAACTGAGAGTTGTTGGTGATCACAGAAATATTGCTAGCTGATACATATTATTGCATTTCATAAAACTTAAGATTAGAAACTTTCAAGTAAGGGTACAACGGGTATCTTCAGAACTTTAACCTAAGCACATCAACGGAATTTTTCTAGGGACCACAGAGAGTTAGAAATTAAATAATTGTGTGGCTCTATGTGTGCTGATTAGTGCTACAGTCATAGTTCTTGGCAGTCAATATGTAGTTATATGCCCCCTTTGAGAAAAACCTACATTTGACAATCCAAACTCCTAAAATTGAGAAAGGGTTATTTGTGTGACCAAACAACTCACACGGAAGATTCCTCTCAACATGAAAATCCCCTGCTACATGAGATAATTTGTTTACATACCTTTAATTACCTAACAAAGAAAAAGAGAGAAAAGAAACTGGAAGCTAAAGAATTGAGAGCTTTTGCCAACTGAAGACGAAGCAGAAAATAAACTTTTCAAAACAAAACTTTTCCAGGCATATCTTTCACCATCACATATATAGAATGATGGAAAATAAAAAAATAAAAAAAAATTCCTGCAATTATACATCTTTTCTTTAAAAAAACAAAAACAAAAACAAAAACTGAGCTTAGCGCCTGAGAGATGCGGGGTAGACAGCTTCACACAGGGCAGCTGCTACCGCATCTCTTTTTACCCGAACTTTCGGAGAATTGTGTTGTACTTATTTATGCACAGAAGACACCCGTTTGCTACTAGGGACATTTTTCTTCCTAAGATTTGCAGAACAGATGCCTCTGAGACAGCAGCAGGGCACTCTGACCTCGGAAAGCAGCCCGCGGGGCCGCACATAATTTCAGGCACCGGCAGGTGAGTGGGAGGCGGGGCCCCAGCCCGGCCTCGCCCACTGCCTCTCTCCTGCCAAAGGGGCGGGGCAACGAGGCAGCGCGCCCGGAAGGCTTTCAAGTGGGAATCAAGTTTTGAGCACGAGCAAATGGGGTTCAGACTGGCCACTGTTATAACAAACCCTGGGGTGGAATTCGGCCTTTCGCATAGGGGCTTTAACTGGACTCTAGTTCCTGGGAGCAGAGGGGCGAATGAGGCGGGGGATTTCTCAGCCAGTTTCTGACTGCCCCTAGTGTATGTGGCATTTTGGTTCAGTATGAATTACTGAGACTCATCTGCTTGCCACTCAGGAGGAAAGTTGGGCAGGCACCGTCGAGTGTCTGCCACTCAAAAGGAATAAGCTGCTTTCTGTGGTGCTGTGCTAAGGAAACTGAAAAATACTGCAATATCCTTCCCTACTAAATTTCAAGTGACACTGCTGTGAGAAAGGTGACCTCTAAAATTAACTTAATCATTTGGGGTATAAGAAGTCTTTAAGTAGACTTGTAAATTTAAAAAAAGTATATAAAGTTGCCAAAAAACTTCAAAAGTTAAGTATGTAGACACACTCCTAAGTTGTTATGCTCATATACTTCAGACTTTTTTTTTTTAATTAGAGCTTCTTATGAATTTACATTTGTGATTCCACAAATGTTAAAATTACCTGGTCTTTTGGTATTTTAGGGCTCTGTTTCAATACAGCAATTTTTCAGACAAAAGTTTTGTCTACTGAATTACTGATGTGCTACTCATTTTGCTCACCTGATCTTTAAATTAGGATTTTAAAATTTAATCAATGTTGAAAGGCCACCATGCTAGGGAATTTGAAAGCAGCAGAGAGGGTATGTGTGTTTTAACTGGGGCCACTAAAGGAGTTTTATACTTCTAACGAAACTATCCTGTTCACAGATGAGGACTGCCTTTTTAGTAACTAAGCCTGTTTTAATCTAGAAAAGTAAGGTAACTGGGTACTTCAAAAATTTTTTCTTGACTGAATGAATGACTAGGCTTTCTTTACTTAAATGATCAAAATGGGTGTATTATCCATCCTTAAGAACAATTTATTTGCAGACAATTGTTCAGAACCTAGGTAACAAGTAAAATATTGAAGTTACAGAACATTATAGAGACTATTAATCATCCCAAAAAACAAGTGCTAGGAAAGAGTTAAATATGCGCAGAAAAATAAAGTTAGAATGAAATCTCTTTTAGAAGTACCTCTTTAGTCTTCATCAGATTTGTTTTTCTCTAAAAGTGCCACCTTGTGGAATATACCGGAATAAAACAAGAAAGCTCATCTCTTAGGACAGTGTGAATGTTTAGAAAGACTTTTGCAAGAAAAGTCACCTTCCTTTCCTACCACATCAACTTCAAATTGCTGTAACAGTATTTCAGCAGATGCTCGAAAAGAGCCTGTATTTATTTTCAGGTGGCTCTTGTTTTCTTCCTAAGGCTAGACAAGGTAACAATATGTTGAAGGAAGTCCACTTCTACTCATTTAGCTAAACGTTATCACTTCCTGGAAATGCTGAGAAATAGAAAACATTTTGAAAAGCTGATTGGCACTTCATTAAGAAAATAAAAATCCCCAGAAAGGCTACTTGAGAAAAAAACGTGTAAAAATTGGACCCCTTCTGTTTTTACATTTCTGTTGCTTACAAAGGTCAGAAGATAGAGAGACCAAAGGATTATTTTTGGTTTATTTTCTGAAAAAGTACAAGATAGAAATGCTTGAGATATAGGGATGTATTAAAATTGGGTTGTGAATTGCATTGATATAGAAAGGGAGTAAATAAGAAATGAAAATGCTAGTTTCTCATGCTTTTGAGGAAAACAGCATTTCTAATTACTCTAAGGACTTACATTTCTTGGCACACTTTGGTAGCCTCAATAAGTTTTTCCACTGTGGAGATGGAACATGTAAATATCTTCCTAATTATATACCCAAATATACTTAATGGACATGATAAATGGTTTTGGGTAAGGTTCACAATTTTTCAAAAGTATTGGTGGCATAGGAAACACATGCCTTTTAAAAATTTATTTTTTCAATGAACGTTCTTAGGCATGTGTAAGAAGTATTGCTTCATGTGGTTGCCTCTTCCCTTGAAATGGGAAAAAAGTACAGGTAATTTAGTTTGCTTGGGACAGCTTCTCCATAACATTTGTTTTCGACCATATTAATCCCACAGTTACCAGATGACCTTAGTATAAATTTTTACAATATATTTGTTCATAAAGAATATATCCTTCAAAATATATATAGCTTTGAAACTACCCTTTAAATACCTTCATTTTCTCCAGAATTTCCTTTATCTATTGCCCACTGTTTTATGAATAATTTTTAAAGCCTTAGAAATCATACATCTTTATCTGTCACAATGTGAAACATGCATTCTTTTGAATTATATAAATATCTAAGAGTTTATAATAACATTCCAATATTTTCTTTCCAGGGTAAATATTCTGTAGTTTCTATACTAACATAATTAAGTAATTATGGTGGCATATTCACTTTTAACATTATTTTTTCCTAGACTCAACTATGCAATTAAAGCCTGCTTTTGGAAAATGTAAGACACTCTCATGTGCTTATCATAAGAATAGTCAAATTGTCACTTAAAAGAAAAGCAATATTTTAGAAGAATTTTAATATGTTTATGATATTAGGAAGCTTACATAATTTAATTTCCACAATGGAACAATAATGGCCATTACTGACTTTAATAGGCACCACTTGTAAAAGAAGCAGCTACAGTTTCTTAAACACTCACTTTAAATACATAATTTAAAGTTCAAAATGTTTGGTACTATTTAAGAGTTTTCTCATCAAGATGGATAGTACATTCTGGAGAGTCAAACTATACATTTCTCTATAGAAAAGAAACATGCTTTATTTAAGATAGGAACATCTCATGCCTTCTAAAGCTTTCATTTTTATTTAACACAATGCTGAGATTCTATTCTTAGGTGAATAATTTTCAACTATTTTTAGTAAGTCACCTGGGGCTAAATGAAAAGTCTGCCATTCACAGTGTGTGCTTCCTGAGAGAAAATCATGAGAATACAGGGGGCTGAAATGGCCCCAAGCTTTCTTCCAAAACAGGTTCTTTGCACCTTGAGTTCCCATCCACTTCAAAGGAGGGACAAAGTGGGAGGCTCCAACCCACTGGGTTCTTACAAGTGCTTAGAAATTGTATTTTTAAGATTAGGTCCTTTTTATTACCCTTTGCCATGGGATTTCTTATGAAAGCTAAATGGACAAGTTTCTCTTTTTCTCTTTTTATATGTAGGTTGTTTTGACTCCACCCTGTGCAACAGTTCCCAAAATGCCTGAGCCGCCAGAACCAAACATCAAACAGAAACTAGCAGGGACATTCTTGTACTGGTCCTACTATGAAATTCAAACATGATTTCAAATCTGTCACAATATTTTAACTTGCTATGAGCTGCTTCAGTGTAACCTTGGGGCAATATGCCCTTTTCAGTTCACCACTGCTTAGCTTTTGGCAAAGATGTTTGAAACCATATGTTACAGAAGAATAAGCTGTAGTCACTAAGTTCTTACTCTACTATCTGCTTCAAAATGCCCTAACGGCAAGACTGCTTGTGTTGGATCTGGATTTCAGAAATGGCGAATCTGGACATAAAATACATAAATCAAGAGAGTATTCACTCAAATGCAACAACTACACCGATGGAAGAACTGGGGACAGATTTTTACAAAGTTCAGAGAGGCTGAGATGCCCTTTCATTCTGTGTCATCAGAAGATAATCTGCCAACGATTGAATGCCAGAATGTTTGTGCTTTAATTTTTCTTCATAAGCACTGCCTAGAAATGAGTCAAAAGCAGATGCTAGGAATAAAAGTTGAGCTCTCTACTCATTTAAAATTCTAAAGAATGCTGAAAAATTCCAGTTCAGAACAGCTGCATTTTTCTTGAGTGAACTTATGAAAACACTTTTACAACAGCAAAAACTAAAGCTATGTTCACTCTAGCCATGAATACTAACCAAAAAGCTCAGATGAATCAGTGCAGTGAGTTTTTAAATTCAATTTGTAGGCCCTAGCAAAAATGTCTTTGTATTTTGACCCTCGATCAAAGGAAAGGCAGAACTCACTTTTCCATGTGAGACTTTGAGTAGACCTGACCTTGAATGCTGTGGATTCATTATATCTCAAGCATTTATAGTACTGACAACACCTAATCAATGTTGTCACAACGAAAGTAGAAAACATTTGTATGGCCCATCTCCTTTATTATCTTGCTCTAGAAAACAATGTTCCTGTTCCTCAAGCTACTGAATTAGAACAATGTTAAGTAGTACAGCAATTAAAAAAGAATAGTTCCCAACCCCAAAAGCTCTTCAGGAGAAACATCTCCTAGTTTTTTCTCTTGTTCAAGATAGTCATATATCACATTAAGCTGCAAAGAATTCAGTACAACTTAATAATGCATAAACATGATCTGAATTATTTTCTGAGTGCAGCAACCTCCATTCTTTGAAAATCCTAACCCTAAACATAATCTAACTGTTGCATGATCTAACTGTTGCATGCACTCTGAGTCAGAAAGCACAGGTGGCTAAACTTTCCAAAAGATACTTTCTGTGTCCTCTGGTTACTAGAGCCAACTGAGCACTAAACCACTTATAAGGCAGAGATGGTATGAAATATAAAGGACTGTAGAGAAAACAGTAAGAGAAAAAGGAAAAGCTGTTTACAATGCCCAGGCCAGGCTGGCTCTGTAGAGAGCAGGAGTGAGCACAAGGCACTAGAAATAAGCACAGCCTGGGGGATGGAGAAAAGATCATTTGATAGAGTAAATGTATGGCCCTAAAACATAGCTAAAGACATACCCTCAGGTAAAGACACTGAAAATATCTTCTATAAAAATGTAATTCACAAAGTAACAGTTTATAGCAATCTGTGTGCTGGTGATAAAACAAAACAAGATCCTACTCATTATTTAGGTAACAAAAGTAAACACCAGGTAGAAGGACTGCATTAGAGAACATATGTGACCCTGTTAGGTTTGCAGAATCGAGGCCATAAACCATAAGCTGAGACTGCGAATTTATGAAAGGTTCATTGAAAGCAAGCAAACAGGTGGTGCATGGGAACAGCTTAAGCAATCTGTTATTAGTTATACAATGGTAGCAATATATTTCAGAAGTGCCGGGAGATAGACAAGATGGATACTTTGCCAACAAGGCAGTGTGTGGCAGAAAGTACAGTGTAATAGATGAGGAAAATTTCAAGGCCACTCCTGTCTCTAGTTAGAGAGAACTACTCTCCAAACCAAAACAGGAAAGAGTTTCTGACAAATTCCTAAAAACAAAAACAAAATAACAACAACAAACAACAATAACAACAACAAAAAAAGGGAAGAAAGGAATTTCAAACCAGGAAATAAAGGCTTTCTATTCTTTTTTTTAAAATCTATCTGAGGTACACTCCCTAAACCTATAGCAAGTAATAAAAAGCTTACAGGCTATTTTCCAAAAGAAATGATAAAGCATGATGTCATACAGAAGGTTAAAATAGACTTACAACAAGTAAATTCAGCATTCTGAAGACTAAATAGAATGCATGCACATCTCTTAAAATATACTAGAATTTTTTCTCCTTTTTGCTGTGTGTATAAAACTTCATCTTTTACTGCTAGCAAATTTACTGCTTTTGGCCAGAAAAGAAATGCTGAGGACATGGGGTTAACTTTCTAATTTGAGAAGACTATTTTGGTGAATCACCTTCAGTGAACAAATGCCTGTTATTTACTGACCACCTTGAGTCTTTAAAATTGAATTATTCTTGTCGTTTACAAAAAGTAACACTTTAAAAGATCACAGAATCTCTCACATACACACACACACACACACACACACACACACACATGCACACACACACTCAAAAGTACCAAATCAGGCCCGGCAGCTGCAGAGAGATTACATCATAACTCAGCTGTGCCTGGATTACCCACTCCACACTGGCAGCATTCAAGGTTAGAAAAATCAAATGGCAGCACAATTGGTCAGCAGCTTCTCTTCTTCTGGAATTTTTCCAGGTTCTTGAAACAAACAGACAAACAAACAAACAAATGAACATAAAGCTGCAATCACTCTTGCATTGATTTCAAAACAGTAAACTAGGCGGTTTCCTTGGAGAAGCAGAGCCTGTCCAGAAGACAGCAGCTGGAAGGCCTCCAGATAGCAATCCTCCACAGCTCTGTAGGGCTTGCTGAGGGGGACCCATAAGCCACCAAGGGTGTTCTCCGCAGGATCAGCTTAAGGCGGCTGCTGAGGCCTCAGGCTGTATTCAGCTCCGAGGTGTTCTGGCTGGGCGGCAGGTGGGAATCCAGGTTTTCTTTGCACCTTTCCAGGTCCTGGAAGTATGGGTGAGACAGGGCACTGTAGGCAGATATTCTTTTGGCTGGGTTAAATGTCAAACACTTCTGTAATAAAGAAAAAAATAATTGGTTGATATACAATACATCAATGTAAATAATGTACTTACAGAGTTATCCCTTTATTCACTGTCATATGTTAAGCGCATCTACAGTGGGAATGAGTATTTATTTAAAGGGACACTAAATAATATGGAGACAGTACTCATATATATCCCTAATGTATAAAATGTCCCTCAGGAGAAGACCCTTTTGGGTGCCTATGGACTGTTTCCTGCCCAGGATTTCTCACTAAGCCATTAAAGTATGCATATAACTTTATTTAGTAATTCTTCCAGTGCTAGCAAACTTAGTGCTACAGTCGGAGACTTCACCGTAACTTATTATCCTGCCTCAAGGCTACACCACTCAGAGGCAGGGCTATCTTCCTTTTAATTAATACCAAGGTGCCACATGGCTAGCAGTAGCTCTCTCAGGGGACCATTAGATTCAGTTCGAGTCACTAAACTCTATTCCAGGCTGACAGCTCAAGTGTAGGGCTACCAAGGTGAATGAGCTGGTGCCTGCGCTTAAGAAGCTCCTGGTCCTAGTCAAGTGGTTTGGGCAGTTTGGCTGAGCTACTGAGGTAGAAGGTGAAAGGAGGGAAAGGGAAACCTTTGCAGTAGCAGCAATCTCTATTCCCAAACTGTCCATACCTAAATTAGTTAGAATGTGTCCCTAATTTCAGTCTCATTTCCACCCCTACCTCAGGTAATCTTGTTACTCAAATCCTCCTCCTCTCCTTCCATCAACGCCTCCTGCTGGGTGCCTAGCAGGTGGCAAGCACTAATTAGTGATGAGTAAGACCTCCTCATTGCCACAGGAGCTCACAAGTAGCAGGGAAGCCACACTGGCTTCTCCATCCTAAAGTGAACTGGGTATATGAAATGTCTATGCATTCCAGTCTTCTATGTAATTTACAGACTTCACATTATCATGGTTAATGGAAGACCTCTTCCACTTAAGAGGTCTGCATAACCATGATATTAATAGGACTCCTGCTCACAGTCCTAGTCAGGTTCCAACTGGATTAGGGACCTCTCTAATATTCTATCGAAGGCTACTGACCTAGAAAAACAAATACAAACAGAAAGTTCTATGTGTAATTTCAGGCAAATTCTTGGGTCCTCTGAAATCTGATTTATCCTGAGATCCCCATCAGTCCATGGTTGCTAGCCTCCCTATAGGATCTTCTGAACATCAAGAGCTAAAGGGCAAGTGGAAGAAAGAGCTTGTCTGTAGAAAGGTTCCAACTGTCTCTAACAGCAAGAAACATCTCTAGAAAAGCTTTGCAAGGGCTGAATTCCCAAAGGACCGGAAAGCAGGGGCAAAATTCCTGAGCCTGAGTTCTCTTTTCCCAGAGCCCAAGAAGGAGAAAATTAGGTAGTGGCATTTAATCTCCAGGACATAGGAAAGAAGAGAAAAGAGCTGTGGGAATACATTCACAATACAGAGACATGTCTCTAGAGGATTATGTGAGAGGAAGCCCTTTCCTCACAGCTACACTGATGGCTTAAAGCTGGGAAGAGGGTGGAGAGAAGGAGAACACCTTAGCCAAATGTGGGGGTGTGGGAGAATCTCACGTTGGAAGTCTTAATACATTTTGTCCTATAGAAATATGGTTAAAAAAAAGGTGTTTAAGTTCTATTATTGCTCTACTTCAGGAACAAGGTTGCCAGGTTGAGGGTTAATTAAAAAACTTTGTGTTAATAATATTGTTTCTGCAAGAAAATTTAGTTTAATTGCCAAATAGTTTACTTATAAAATGAGCTTTTGGAATCACAACTTAGTCAAGAGTTGGATACTATGGTAGATTGGATAACTTTTAGTACATATTCCCTCTTTTCTCTCCCCTCTCACCATAGGGGGAGCATTCTTTCCTCCATTCAAGTTGGCCTTAGGCATGGAACTTGCTTTGGCCAATGGAACATGGGCAGAGTGGCGGGTACTTCTTCCAAGTATGGACCTTCAGGGGCATTGCATATTTCTGCTTGCCCTTCTGGAGCATCGATACCTTCTATCATGAGAAAAACATGCCCCAGGGAGCTGCTGCCTCTCTGGCATGGGCCCCAGCATGAGACACATGGAGAAGACCTGTGCTTCACCCACGGGCAGAAGCAGATATCAAAGGCTGTTAATTCAGGAGGTAAAGCAGACACTCATTACTCACTGGGTTTCAGACATCAAGAACAGCCCAACAGGTACACTTTTCTACCTATTGTTCTGGCCTCCAAGTATAGGAAATTATGTATATGGTTGAGCATTAAGAGTCTCAGAGCACAGAAGTCCTTATTTTCAGTGAGGTATTTTATATGTCCCTGGCACACTAAATACTTATTAAATAAATCAGCAACTAGAAGAAGTATTGCTATATAGTTCTTTTGGAAAAACATCTCCCCAAAGTTGTGAATGTTTAAGAAAAGGCACGTTAAAATGACAAACAAATTACTTAAAGTAGCATGAAACTGTAAGAAAGGAAACATAATATTTACTTCTAAAGAAACATATGTCAAAGTGAATCGAGAGGCTTCTAAACCTGCATTGAAATAAACATTCAAAGATGGCAGATTTAAAAAAATGTGGATCAGAAAGACATTCCAGAATCAAAAGCCACCAGCTGCTACAAGTGTGAAAATGAAACCTCTGGAGGGACTGTTGCCTCCTGCTCCATGTGGCTGTGGCATGTGATGCCTATAGCAGCTACTGAACTGATATTTGTGCCCACCACCCAGTCTGGGTAGAGCAGGTGTCTCACTGGCACAGTGCAGACGAGCTTGACATCAGAAAAACTTACCAGAAGTAGGTCTTTGCCTAGTTCATCGATATCTGTTACAAACTTCTCAATTGGTTGGGCAGATTTTGAATGAAAAGCCTGCCTGGGAAGGGCAACATCTCTAGGCCAGTCTTCTTCTCCTGGGAGTCCAATCACGCTACAAAAGAACCACACATGGACATAAGCATTAGCTACTATGCAGAAGCTGTTTTCTCATCAATTTCCAGAGAAAGGCAAAATCTAAGGGGGAGACATGGGGGGCAGAGTCCCAGGAGACCTTCACTTTATCACTGGCAGGGTCTCTGTTTATCTCTGTCCTACTGCAATATGGTGGCCATGGGGGAGAGGGTAATCTCACAGAAGAATTGTAAAATTCAGTGGGAGGAGATAAGAGATTGCTCTGGTAGCAGACACTAAATGTAAGGGATGATGTAGAAATAGAAAATATATTACCAGGCAGTAAGCTCTGACTTAGTGACAAAGCAGGACTTATTGTATTCAGAGGAGACCCATACTGGTACATATCTTCCTTTATGTCCAAGAATGCTTTTTGTGTTTTGATCGAACACCCCAGTATTGACATGATTTTATGATGCTCATCCAACATGGTTTATTAACATATCAATTTGGTTGCATTTTTGGTTAAAGAGCAATTCCCTACATATTAAATATATACATTAGAATCAGAAGGAAAAATGAGGCTAAAACGTGCTAGTCCTGCATTATACAAACATGATTTTATAAAAGGAAGTCTGTGGTATTCCAAAGTGAGCAAACAGTAAATTAAAAGACTATTATTTATATTTCCCCTGAAAACCATTCTGGGATCAGAAATGTGGAAAGAACAGCAAGTGATAAGCACAGGCTTCGGAAATAGGCAGATTTGGGTTCAAATCCTGCACCTGCCACTTACTGGCAGGTAAGGACAAATTACTTAACATCTATGACCCTTAGTGTCTTTATGTATACAATGATAATAACTTACAGTTGTAATGAGGATCAGTTATACTTTATTTGAATTTATAGTAATATATAAATTTATAATTTAAAGTACAAAGCACAGCACCTGATATACATCACACACAGTCAATTATCAATCAATACACTGCCTACTATTATTATAATTAGAAAATGTTATTAATACAAGATGCATAGGAAATACATCACTACCACACTTAAAATATGAACTGCTTGTATCTATGTATAACTTAAGATTCTTTAAAAAATTAATGGGTCAATGGACTTACATAACTTATACATTGTATAGATATTATTTATAGTTTACATATAGGTCGTAAGTAGGTTTGAACAGAGAAAATCAGAGGATGCAGGGACTTCTTTCTCACACAGACTGTATAACTCTGAACCAAAAATAAAATCATAGTTTAGTGGACGGGGTACATAGCTATTCAAATACTGGAACAAATAATTTTAACTACAGTTAGAAATTGTGCTGGCCCACATTAGGGTCTTCTGCTTGGCCTCTACTTGTTGGGACTAAGGCCCAGGAAGAGGTGTTCTTATGAATGTACTTCCAGATTTCAGGAAGATGTGGTACAGGTCTCAAGATCTGTAGCACTTCATTTCCCCTTCCCTCACCTACACGGAGCCCAGGCCATAGACTTCAGCTGGGAAGATAACCCTGTCATCATGGCTTCTCTGCCTGGGTGTCTGGGGAAGACACTGTAATTCGGCCTCTATCAGGCATACTGAGAGAGCTACATTATTGAGGCAAAGACAGATTCATGGACATATTTACTAGAAGCAATAAATAGAAATGACAATGAGCAATATATAGATTTGTTCAATAGTACAGCCTACAATAGAAGTAAAAAGAAAAAAACCAAAAATACCACTATTAATTATGAAAAGAAATGCACGTGTAAGTGTCTGGATACAATGGGACAGGGCAGAGGAGGGAATGAAAAATGCTTGTTAGAGAGCTTTAAAAATTTCCTTTCATTCCTTTTTAGTTGTCAGGTCTATGTGTATCAATATTTTTGTGTATATTCACCAGTCAGCTAGAAATTGATTATATTAATAACTCCTAGAAATATTTAAAATCTTTTTTATTTGTGGCTTTGAATGTATCTACATCTAATTACATCTTGCAAGTATATGATCAACTGAATGCCAAAAGCCTTCAGAGGAACAGCACATCTCTGTTTGTATGTGTGTACATATACAAATAACTTTATATAATTTTATATAAAATTTTAAACAAACACATAACTATATATATAAAACTTTAAGTCTATCACCTCCTCTGATTCCTGTAATAATTTCCTAAGACATGTAAGTCAGGTGTTATTAGTCTCATTTTATAGATGGGGAAATTGAGAATGAGGAATAAAATGAACTGCCAAAGTCACAGATAGCAAGCTCAGTCACAGAGTCCAGAGTGAGTTCCGTTCTCTCTATTCCAATATTTTATTTCCATTTAGCTATGACATCATTCTTAAAAATGCTCTAAGATGTCACAGGCTAAAACTATTGTTTCACTTTTAATACTTGCTATTACTTGAAGGCTTAAATCTTCCTAAACACAGAAATGTTTTTCCCTTTAAGAGTATGTGAACATGGACCAGGTGGGGTGGCTGTAATCCCAGCAGTTTGGAAGGCCGAGGCAAGTGGACCACTTGACCCCAGGAGTTCAAGACCAGCCTGGGCAACATGGTGAAACTCCATCTCTATAAAAAATATAAAAATTAGCTGGTTGTGGTGCCCTGTGCCTGTAGTCCCAGCTACTTGGGAGGCTTAGATAGGAGGATTACTTGAGCTCGGAAGGCCAAGGCTTCAGTGAGCCAAGATCGCACCACTGTACTCCAGCCTGGACAACAGGGCAAGACCTTGTCTCCAAAGAAAAAAATAAAAAAGAGTATGTGAATATGGCTTTCCTTAAAAAAAATTTGGTTTCATGTCCAGAATGAACTTTTATGGCCCAAATATGTGTTGTGAAATTCTGATAGGTCCATTAAAAATGCTTGCACTTAATTCCACTATTTGGACTGCTGAATATAAGCCTTAAAAGTTGACATTTATATTGGCAAGCCCAACAGGGCACAAAATCTATAAATGGCAGTGATGGAGGAGACAGAAATATTTTTTCAAGTACTTCAGCAGTGACGCTAGGGTGCAGCATTGTCCCTTTTCTCTGGCAAGGTAATGCATTCAGAGGAAACAGAACATAATTTTGATGACACAATGCCAGAAACCACAAAGTAAAATCTAAAGGCACAAACCATAGAACTCTACAGCTTCTTTGCTGTTGGCAACCTACGATTGTCAGGACTTTGCCAAAAGCAGAACTGGCTTTTCTTTGGAAGCAGGTCAAACATGCCGGTCAAATGTTCCTTCTGGTCCATTTCACTGGCCTCATGTACTAAGGGGGCACTAACAATGTTAACAAGATTGCAGACATCAGTGCTGGAGGTAGACACAACTGTCAGGTAGTATAAATAAGGGAAAGAAGGTGATGGCTTTCAAGTCCTGGCAAGCTGACTTTAGTCAAGATTCTCTTTCCTTTTAACAGAAGGTCATCAGTATGTCTGCTTTCCCTAGTTTCCTCTTTATGATCACATGCACACAAAATATATTCAACAGTCATGGGGAAAAATAGATGGGAGTTCATCGAGTGATTAAATAACTTGCCATTCAGAAGCAGGGGTAACATGAAGGCTTTGTGTTGAATTTATCCACTGTACAGAGTGGTCAGTAGTAGGAGCAGTAGCATCACCTGCCCTGGACCCAGGAAGCCCCCAGGCATAAAAAACTAGCAAATGTTATTCAGGCCTTAAAGCTACTATGTTCTGACTCAGCAGTAGCACTGGCATTAACAGAAGTCTAGCTGCTTCTAGTCACTAAAAGAACAAAATCAGGTTCCAGTTTTATTAACTGTTTTAAGCAGTCACGCTTGAGTAGACAGTGCTGATATGAAAATCTGTTCTTTAGGGGTGGTTTTTTTTTTTTTTTCAGTCTTACAGACTTCGAATTTCATAAAAATCACTGGGATTCCTATAAAATGTCACAGACCAAAGATCAGGGCTATTTTTGGTCTAGAACTCCCACTTTTTTCCTACTCCACTCCAATTTGGATGGGCCTTTCAAACACAAAAAACCAAAAAAGGATGCCACACTGCATGCTTTGTCAGAAGAAGTGCCCCAGTTACATTCTAGAAACATGAATGCATACATGCATGAACATGCAGACATGAATGAAACTATGTAAATCATCAAGGAGCGATGTAACTGAAACCAAAGAATTTGAGCACAAGAAAGGATCTTATAGAGAATTTAAGTCAGAGTTTCATTTCTCAGATGAAGTTAAGGAAATAAAAGGTTAAATAATTAATGATGAACTCTAATAGTAACAGTAATAGATAACTTTTTAAAGTGCTTACTATGTGCCAGGCACTGTGTAAGCCCTTCACGAGGTGTTTTAAATGACTTTCTCAAAGTTGCAGAGTTATTTTGCCAAAGACTTAGGGTTCTCATTTTCTATTTTGGTGCTCCAAAGAAAAATGAGATGTGTAGCATACCATCCTTCGCCCAGGAAAACAAAACAAAACAACGCAGAACCAACCTGGGTGACCAAGGATACTCAGTGGGGACAGGAAGCTCACTGGACAAGGATGGGTACTTGGTCACCAGGCATCCCATCTCTGATGGTGGGTGCTTTTGAAATGACCACAAGCAGAAAATGTATTTGAACTAAAAGAACTGGAGCTCAGCCACACGAAGAAAGAGGAGCAGCAAAAAGATCCACACAAGCAACATACAAGCTTCCAGAGCAGAGCAGTTAGGGCTCTGCATAAAACGGCACTTCTACCATGTCTCCACTCACCACACAAATAGTAACACTGTCTGCAGCAGCTGCTTGAAGTAAGAAAGACAAGAGATAAACACATGATATGCATGTCAGAGGAAAGTCACTGTAAATGTTTTAATGCTATGGACACTGGTGTAAAATTATAATTATTACTTACTCCAAGATTTTTCCTAGTTGATCAACATCTGAACTTCCACGAAAAAGAGGCCTAAAAGAATAAAGATACATTTTAAATAAGAAATGTTCTCAGATTACATTTCAATCATATTTGCCATTATCATTGTTTCACAGGAAGCAAAATATTCTTTATGGGTTGGGAAGAAGTAAAAAAAATTGAGACATTTTTCCTTTGGTAAGTGAAGGTTTTCCCTGCATTTCATGTATGGGTTAGGATCTCTCATGAATACCTGGTGGTAGATGAATTCCATGTTTTACAATCACGGGCATTCTGTTTGCAGTCATTCTTACAACAGTGCTACCGTCAAATTCAGTTCCAGGTTTCAAAGATCTGCTTAACTTCGTGATAAGGTGGAACATACCACCATCCTAGTCTCGAACCATAAATAGGTGAGATTCTTTGATATTTCTCAGAGCACTTTTTCCATACTACTCTGCTATCAGAGTACTTCCTCATGGGTCTCTCTCCTTTCATTTGTCCTCAATGCTGCAGTGAACCACCTCTGGGTCTATTTTTCTAATTATACCACTTTTCTTCCTCCCAATATTATGGCAGCTAACCATTACAAGTTCTAAATCTTAACTCTGGGCTTTAGAGGCAATTGTGTCTGCTTCAAACACACAGCCTTCCTTGTCTACATTGAGCATTTAACTGGCAATTAAAAAAGGTCATTTTGTGACATTTCTGGCATTTCTCCAAGAAGATCAAGTAGCCCCTTGAGGGAGGAGACTTCTCTAGGTTTCCCTATAAATCCCTGCCATAGAGCTTTACTCTGACAGATGCAGTTACTAAACATTTTATTTCATTTTGCATACACCTATGGTACACAAGTAAACGTTCCCTGATTCCTTCCTCAACAAATGCCATAAACAGGTAATTTTCAACATTAATGTACTAAAATAGTTGTAGTCTATTATCAGGTATCATATCTCTTTTTATATTATATATCAAATTATACAGCCTTAAACTTGACCTCTTAAATATTTTCTGTGCACAATAAATGAACTCACTATATATGGCCATATATGGAGAATCCTGCAGTCATAGCATTTCAGTGGTTAGAACACACCTTAACGTTTCTCAACCATACTTTCTATGAATGTTACTATTCCTGAAAATAATGATTTCCAAATGCAGTGGAAAAGAATTTACTTATTGCAAGGTGATGGGCTGAATTTTTTTCCCCCAAATTCATGTTGAAGCCCAACTCCCAAGATCTCCGAATTTAACTGTATTTGGAGATAGAGCCTTTAAACAAGTAATTAAAATAAGATAGGGTGGGCCCTAATCAAATCTGACTGTTTTCCTTGTAAGAAGAAGCCATTTGGACACAAAGAGACATCAGGGGTGCACATGCACACAGAGAAATAAACATGTGAGAACCATGAGAAGGTAAGCCTAAAAGAGAGCCCTCAGAAGAAACCAAACCTGCTGACACCTTCATCTTGGACTTCCAGCCTCCAGAACTGTGAGAAAATAAGCTTTTGTTGGTTAAGCAATCCAGTCTGGTATTTTGTTGCAGCAGTCCTATAAAACTAATATAAGCCACCTGCATATCACTAATGCAGCCAAATTCATAAAGAATCACGAAGTTGCGCTCTGAAAGACATCTTGACAGGTCTTAAAAGATGACAAGGTGAGAAGTCCAAGTTTTTTTCTAAAACTTCCAAAAAAAGGCAAAAAATGGAATCTTAACAATTATAATTTATTGAGCATGAATGTTGTATCTGGCCTAGTGCCAAGTGCCCCAAACATAATCTCATTTGATTCTCACAAAAATTCCAGGAGAAATGTAGTAGTACAATTATCCCTATTTTCAGATGAGGAAACTGAGTACTGGAGATGTTACATGGCTTAATTAAGGGCATAATATTCCCCTCTCCTTTTATTTCTTTTTAGTTAACATGCTGATTTTTCAAGATTTTTTTTTGACTGGGGAAAGGGTCTGTTTGGCGATGGACTGTCCTGGGAGTGAATCTCTATTTAGCTGTTTCTTCCTATATGATCTTAGGAAAGTCTCTTAATTTCTTTGACTTAGTTGCTTCATTTGTAAAATGGAAAGAATGATACTTACCTCATAGGATCAACTAAGTGAGATTATGAATATATCTCATCTACTAGAATGCCCAGCTTATAGCAGAGTTACAATTAAGTGGTAACTAAACACACACACACACACACACACACACACACACACACACACCTCTCTTATTCCTGGCCAATATTATACAGATAATCATGTAAAGTATTTCACACAGTGAAGTAGAAAGGAAGGAACCATTTGCCACCATGTGGTGAGGTCCAAGTCACATTTAAGTCTAACAGTCTTTCCTCTGGGGTCACTAAATATTGCTTACATGTTACAGCTCTTACAACTTTATCAAGAAAAGAATTTTCTAAAGGATGAATGCCACATTTTTCAATAAGGATTAATTAATTCTGAATTGGCAATATCACTTCCTGTATGCAGTTTTGCAAAAAAAAACAAAACAAAACAAAACAAAACAAAAAAAACCAAAAACCTCACCAAGTATTTAAGTCTATCAGTGAGATAAATTTTCTCAGGTCAAATTACCAAGGGGACTAAGTTTCAGATTATATGCCTTTTTAAAAAAACAACTCAAAAATGCATAGATATCATTTGTAATCTCAGTAACAGTGGCAAACAACATTTAGAAGTTGGGTATGTTTTTTAACAGATGAGAAGTGTATACTGGTATGTCTGTTATAGAAAGGAAATGATTCATGCATAACAGGGGATGAAAGTTTCATTTAGTTACAATAATTTCATTGTACTCAAAAGACAAGGAAGTCATGGGTTAACCTATAGAACACCTTTGTAACCTGTATTTGACCTGCAGCTATGCTTTGACAGCTATTTTTCTTGATTAGTGGAAGAATTTTCCATGTTCATAAAGTGATCTTTCAAAAAAATATTACTGGAGAATATCTATTATTTTATACTCATTACCACATTCTATTCTAGAGTTGTTATCAGTTAAGTTAAAATTGTTAACTTATCACCTTACAATTACCACCTATTCAAATAACTGGATGAAGCAGAAAATCAATTAACTGATCTACTTAGTACACACTAATTGACTGATTACCCAGTAAGTACATGCGGCTGTAATTGGTGCTGGGAAATACTAAAAAATACACATATAAAAAATATAAATTACATTTCAAAGTATATAATTATAATGTATGTAATATACATATAATGTAAGTCATATGATATACATATAATATGTATTTATACATTAATAGCAGGAGACAAGGAGACAAGATATACAAATGCAGAATCACCGAATAGAAGTTTACCTCATTTTACCAGTGGGAGACAGAAGTCGCGGTAATCGTTTCATCTTAATAGAATGTTAGGAAGTGGTTTGATTAACTTACTTTTACAGATGGGAAGTAAAGTAACATCTAAGGAAACACAGATGAGTAAGTGGCTAAGCTGATTTGTCTGACTTCAATGAACAGCAATATAGAAAAAGTGTTTTAGAAAGACTAATTTGGCAGGGGTTTACTGAGTCAATAAGAAGGGATGGAAACCAAGCCAAGGAGGTCAACTGGGAAGTCAGTGTACAAGTAAGATGACAAGGGCCTCAACTAGGTGGGACAAGGAAATGGCTAGAGATGCAAAGACATTTAGAAGAAGATGATCAGAACTTGATGGAAATGTGAACATGACTTGAGAGGAGAAGCATGATTTTAAGTTTGTATTATATTATTAGTAAAGTCTGGCAGAATGAGATAGATGGAGGTGGTGGGGAGAGGAGATTAGAAGGTAACTGATTTAGTTTTAAATATTTTCCTTGTATAATAAAATTATATAAAACATTTCACTGAAATTGGAGAATGAATAATATGCAAAAAAGGTAGTTTGGCATACCTATGTATATACCCAAAAGCATTAACATACAGGTCCACATAAAAACTTGTACATGAATATTTATAGCAGCATTATTCATAATAGCCAAAAAGTGGAAACAATCCTAACGTCCATCAACTGATAAATGGATAAACAGAATGTGGTATGGACTTACAATGGAATATCACTGAGTCATAAAAAGAATGATATACTGAGACTACCTGGAGGACCCTTGAAACCATTATGCTCAGTAAAAGAAGCCAGTCACAAACAACCACACATAATGTGATTCCATTTATATAGACAATGTAAATTTATACGAACAGAAAGTAGACTGGTGGTTGCCTGGGACTAGGGGATTTGAGGGAACTGACTGTATACAGACTGAAGGTCTGTGCCCCTGAAAATTTCCTGTGTTGAAATCCTAATTCCTAAGGTGATGGCATTAGGAACTGGGGCCTTTGGGAGGTAATTATGTCATAAAAGGCATTAGTGCCCTTATAAGAGAGACCCTGGAAGGCTCCCTTGTCCCTTTCACCATATGAAGACACAGCAAGATGACGATCATCAATGAATGAGGAAATGAACCCTCTCCAGATACTGGCTCTGACCTTGGACTTCCCAGCCTCCAGAACTGTGAGGAAGAACTTTTTGCTGTTTATAAGCCAATCCAGTTCATGGTATTTTGTTAGCAGCCCAAGCTGAGTAAGACAGACTGCTAATGGGTATGGCGTTTCTTTTTGGGGAGATAAAAATGTTCTAAAATCGACTGTGGTGGTAGTGGTACAACTCTGTGAATATGCTAAACTGAAAAAAACACTGAATTGTACTATTTATATTGGTGAATTGTGTGGTTATATCAATTATATTTTGATAGAGCTGTTAAAAAAGGTGGTTAAGAAATTATATTTCCAAGCAAACATTACGGATTCAGGAGGAGGGTAAAAAAACTGCTAAATATTTGGAAACCATCCACATACACACAAAAATAAATTAAAAAAAAAACTGCTAGGAAAACTGTTAGGTCTACATATATGAAAGGCTTTAAGCATGCGGTATTAAAGTATAGTGACAAACATTTTACCATATATTCAATCAAGTACTTGTCTGGAGACATGTGCTCCGCAAGTTTTGATAATCTATTGTTATGATCTGAATCTTTCCAAACACCTGATTTATCAGATTAGGGTTAAATAATAAACCAAAAATGTCTATGCATGCAAAAAAAGGCACTGGTATGAAACTATTATCTTATACTTCACTTTGGATGGTGAGATGATGAATGATTTGCTTTCTGCATTTTTCTACTTTTCTATACTGCGTTTTATGAGTGTTAGTTTTAAAATCAGAAGAAAAAAAAACCCGACAACATTGCCTCTTGCCATACACTGCACATATATGATCTGTTCACCTCACTTCTTCATTCCCTACTTTAATACTAAGGCAACTCTATTATATTCGTTTACCTGTTGATTTCTACACACAAACTGGAAGTTCTCTGAGGACAGGGCCAACCCTCACTTGATTCTGTATTCAGAGTACTGAATTTACTGCCCAGTTTGGCTATAATTGGAACTCAATTAATACATGCTGAGTGGTTATTGCTCCCCCCTGCAAGAAGGCTTTCTGTCCCTTCTTTTCTTCAACTTCAGCTCCTCCTGTCTCAAAATTCACTTCCTTGGTTCATCTCTGGGTAATTCAAGTGCAAGCAGGTGTATCTGCAGAGGTACATATATACGATTAGATGTATACACACCAAGAGCCAACTCCAAATCCAATTTATATTGTTGTATCTGTTTATGCTTTAATCTGCCTGTGGCACCAGACAATATCTGCCTGCAAATAATGTGTATTTAAAAACTGGGGCTGGCTGACAATTATTCTCCTATATCCAAAACCTTGCGAAAACCTTCACAGAAGCAGCAAGAGGCAAGCAGGATAGGAACTTTGCCCTCCAGTGCTTGCTTCAGCCAGGTATGAAGGCTAGGGATGGTCTCCCTGGAAGACAAAGAAAGAGAAGTGTTGAGAAAAAGTGTAGCAAAGGCAAAACGGTATAGGATTAAGGAGAGTGGGGAGGGGAAAGACGCACTTGAAGTAAAACCGGTCCAGAAAGGGAGAAGGGCTGGTGGGAAAGAGCACGGAAAAAAACAATTTAAAGCCCAAGTAATGACAAGGAAAGACCGTGGCAGAAAGAAGAATCTGAGACGAAGTTCCGTCACAGAGACCCAGACTGATAGGAAAAAACCTCTGCCAGGGAAGGGAGGTGCCACTTAGAGGAAAGACTTGTGTCTCTAACACAAGTTAGAGAGTGTGCTGGCATCCCTGTCCATAGGAGGGACTATGAGTCTGGTAATTTCCTTAAAAATAAATAGCTGAATTAATTTTTCCTTGTTACCGATGTGAATAATTTATTTATCCACAGAGGGCTCATATTTACTGGACTATGAGTAACTTCCTCTAGAGAAAGAGATGGAGAGAAAGAAAGAGAGGGAGAGCAGAGGGACAAACCCTACCATTTTTCAACTCAAAATTGAGGATTAAAATTAAACTAGAACTCACCAAACTACTTCAGATTTCTGAAACATTACAAAACTCATAAATTAATATATTTACTGAGTCAACTTTACATATGACTAAAATAAGACTAAGCGGTCGTTGAGATGAAAAAGTCATTTCTAATCACTATGACAAAAATTGAATGGGTATCTCCCATTTCCAAGAAATAGTTACTTCTCTGAAATATTCAAATAATTTCATTTTTATTCTCCCAGTGTCATCTCTCCCTGCCTTAGTCTACTCAGGCTGCAATAATGGAGTACTGCAAACTGGGTGGCTTAAACAACAGAAATTAATTTTCTTGTGGTTCTGTAGGGTGGAAAGCCTGAGATCAGGGTGCTAGCATGGTAACTCAACAATGTAGGGTTCTGGTAAGATCCCTCTTCCTGGCTTGTACCTGCCTTCTTGCTATGCACTCACGTGGCTAGAGAGAGGGTATGCTCTTTGGTGTCTCTTCTTATAATGGCACTAATCCAATCATGGGAGCCCCATCCTCATGACCTCATTTAATCCTAATAATCTCCCAAAAGCCCCATCTCCAAATAGCATCACATTGGGGGTTAGGGCTTCAATGTAAGAATTTTGGGAGGGACACAAACATTCAGTCAGTAACACGTCCTTCTTCATATTAATGAATGTAATATATCTTCCATAATTTTAAAATTAAAAAGCTGGGCTGGCACATTCTTGTCTACTATAGCAGCAATAAATGTGATTTGTCTTTCTGTGACTAGGATCCAACTCTTCATTTTATATACTTTTTGATATTTTTTCTTGCCAAATTACATTATTTATTTATTTATTTATTTATTTATTTCCCTTCCAAAGCCTCCCTTATCTCTTGCTCTCCAATCACACTGTTCAGGGGGATTCTTAAGGCTGGGAAAGAAATGATGATGTATTTAGCACTTTCCAAGGGCTGGGTTCCTAATGCATTATTGCATTTTAATTCTCACTCTAACCATGAAGTTAGGCGACTAGCAAGTACTGAAAAACTTTGCAAATGAAAGAAAGTTTTAGAACCAGGAAAATAAATCTGAGTCAAACTTCGGAAGCTATAATTCACAAGGGTGAAGACTTTATATTAGTATTATTAAAAAATTGGAGGCAAGTCAAGGATATGGTACCCCCATGGAATCACTCCTGTCACTATGGGCTTCTTTAATAGTCAGATATCGCAGGCTCAACACTCCGGGGAATACTGTCTTCTGTCTCTTCATATAACCACAGAGCTTGGATAACCCTTCTGCTCCCTTGTGGAAATTCTAGCTTTAATACTCACTATAGTTTAAATTGGGCTTAGCATTGAAAAACTTTAATGACAACATGCTGGAAGGTCATTTGGAGCAAGGGTGATGGTGTGGTGTGGAGACAGAATAGATGATTAGAGACGATCAGGGACACCTGGCAAAATGAGTGCCACTGATTAATTAGTGAGGCTCTGATTATTAACTGGGCTCAGGGCTTATCAATTGCCTTCACTCTGCAGCAGAACTCTGAACTAGAGATATCACTCGACCAAATTAGAACCTCACCATACCACATAATAAACTTATTCTGTCTCACAACTCCCAGTCTTGCTTTATACTGTGCCTTCCTGGGAGAGAAGGAAAAGCTTTACCAGGGAATTCGTTCATGAGTAGGAACCTTAGCACTGTTGTTCTTCAATACCTGGTCATTTGGGTAGGAGAGGGCCCAGGAATAGGGTAACCAACGAGCCCAGTTTGCCCAAGATTGTCCCAGTGTCAGTACTGAAAATGCTGTGTCCTGGGAAACCTCTCTGTCCCAGGCAAACTGGGATGGTTGGTCACCCTATCCAGGAGACTCAGAGCAAGAGGCTGTAGAAGACAGAATTTTTTAAAAAAATTAAGTTCTTTGTTATTTCAGTGGGGCAGGCTGTTTAAAAAAATCAAATGAGCATACCTCAAAACAATCAGAATGAAAGTGGTCCAGACAGACAGGTTTTATTCTCTTTTTTCCTAATAACTCACTGCTACTGTGTAATAAGGGACTAGACTGGGGGGAGTCCCCTCCTCATACCACAATTCAAGATGTTATTTCTCTCTTTCAGTAAATGACTTCGTAAAACTATACGCACCTTGCCTCTTTTGCAGGGAAAGAGCATTGCCTATGGTTAGGTCTACATGGTTAAATTAATAGTCTGCAGGAAGTGCTGGATCTAAGGAGGCAACCACAACTAGGGGGTCACTGGGGTGGAGCTACCTACACATATAGGATGACAAGGAGATTTCATCCAGTCTGGTTGGTAGCGATAGGCTGTAAGCTGGGTTGAGAATGATTCTGAAGTGCTGTGTAGGTGGAGCAAGAGAGAGTGCTACATTAATCAGTAACACACACCTCTGAAAATGAACTAGCTAAGTGAGTCAAGTTTTCTCTCATGATAGGCTGACTTCAAAGCAACATTGATACAAGGAATAAAAATTAGAAAATACAAAAGTAAGTCTGTCTAATAGAGACATTTCAACAGCAAATACTACATACATTACGGTAACTAAAATGTGGCTCTCAAAACTACTTCTTACTTTTAACCTCTGAATCCACTGGTTTTGTCTTCAATACAACATTTTTTGCCAAAGGGAGTCTTATGGGCTCTGTTGTGGGTGTGTCTTTGAGTATATAATTATCATCACCTCTATGCTCACACACCTTTCTCTTGCAAAAACTCTAATATTGACATCAGCCGGATGTCAGCAAAATGACATCTTTCTGAGGCTGAAGGTTTTCATGTTGCCTTTGGGGGAAAATAATCACTAGACATTTTCTGAAATGGAAGTGTCTGTTGGCTGAAGTGGCTTCTTTAAAAAGAAAAAAAGAAGCTTTGCTCAAAATGGAACCAAAAGTATCAGTCATAAAGCATTACAAATGATCTAAAAATATTCTCAAATTGGATTCAATCATTGGTTAAAAATAGTCCAAACACTGAAAGACTGATTTTCTCATTTTTTCCTTAAAAAATTATAATGTGCTCAACATATAAATAAGGGCTCTGGCCCTTGAATGTCAGTGATGTTGTCTACCAGTGTCTAGTATTGTGAGTTTAGTGTGGTGATTAATCAACAAAAGCTAGCATTTATTTTATCAGAATAAAATTTTACTGGCCCAACAGCAAGTTTAACTTTTTCAAAAAGCTTATTTACTGAATTTATATTTTGAATGATTCATCATGGGTACTGTTAAAAATAACAAATTATTGCATACCTATATCAAAACATCTCATGTACCCCATATATATCTACTATGTATCCACAAAAATTAAAAATAAAAAATTTAAAAAGTAACAGATTATCTTGATTATAAAATATATACGCATTGTGGAAAATTTGGAAAATAGAGTAAATAGATGAAAATAAATTACACAGCATCACTTCCATTCTTTTCTCTTTTTATATACAAATGGATATGATGGTATCTCTAAAGATCTTTTTTTTTTTTTTTTTTTTTTTCCAAACAAGCTAAGATGGCACCAATCCCAGGGCAGGATCTGAGTCTTGACTATAGTCCTTAGTTTTGAACAAGTACAGGGTGACAAGAAAGTGCATAACAAAGCTATGACTGAATAAAACTCAAATCTTGGTGAAGAAAAGAAATCAAGGACACATTAAAAAAACTATGGGTACACACATTTTCACTTCTTAGTTTATATCTTATGGCAGGGAGCAGGAGTAATCTTTTCTTTTTCCTTTATGAATGGTAAAGACAACTGGTATCCTGTCTGAATATAATATGCCTATCCAGCACACTTTGGGTAGAATCCAATGATGTGTGATAACTCAACAATTTGGTACAGGAAACAGAGCCCACAACATTCCTCAGAAATTTCACAGACAATCTAGACAGAACAGACCTATTTGAATAGGGTTTTTTGTTCAGTAATATTTGAAGGATGCAATTTTTCACGGTGGACACATTGGGTTTGTGACAGATGCAAATTCAGATATGAATAAAACACAATTAAATGATTCAGACTCTTGAACTGTGCTTCCACAGACCTGATTTCTGCATGGGCCAAACAAAGGAAAGTTGGTGTTTGACAACTGTGGATGACTCATCAGAGGAAGTTCTTACCATGTGGATGTGCTTGTTGAAATAAAGCTGGTTAACAAAGCTAGCCTTTTTTTTTTTTTTTTCCCTCTGTGGGCCAGCGAGGGTTTCATTTTAGGAAATGGAAGTGTCAATGTGGACAAACTGTTCTGAAGTATTTATAGCATAATGTAATGTGTTAGTTTCCTTAAACTGCCTTTGGACAAAGAATATGTGAATGGAAAATAAGATCTGAATTTCTAATACTGTCTTGTGTCATCTGAACTGTATTATGAGTATAAAATGATTTAGCACTGTGATATGTACACAGTGTGATAGGAATGTAGTGTAGCTACAGTGGGGTGTGCTAGTGGCTTTCCAATTAATTTTAAGAGCTCTTTTATTCATTAAGGATATTACACCTTTGTCATATTCATTCATTTTCTCCAAGATTATCACATGCTTTTTAACTTGGCAGTGTTTTTATTTTCTGATGAACAAAAGTTTTCAATTTTTATATAATCAAATATATTAGTATTTTTGTTTGTGACTTCTTAATGCTTTGAAAATATATCTCCATTCTAGGGTCACAGATACTTCCTATAGTTTCTTTATTCTTTTATGGCTTCACTTTTAATATGTAACTCTTTAAGCCATCTGTCATTTGCTCTGTGGTGAGGAATAGTGAGAATCTAATCAGGTTACCATTTTTCCCCCATGAAATTGACCAATTACCCTATTCTCATTTGTTGCATATGCCGTTCTGTCCTCCCAGATTTGTGATTTATGATAAATTGCATCACTTCCTAAATTAGGGTTTCAAGTCTCATTCTCTATTCTGTTCCATTAATGTCTGTCACTTCTGCTGGTACCACATTATTTTTATTACTGTAGTTGCATAATGTATTTTAGTGCTTGGTAGCAGGAGTTTCTCTTCATAACTTTTTTTTTTTGGTAACAAAAAATTCTTGGCTATTTTCACCAGTTTAACTCTTCCAAATGCATTTCAGGAAATCCCACTGGAATTCTGACTGGAGTTGCATAAACCTATGAATTAATTTGGAAACCTTTTATATCCTTACAACTATTCAATCTTCCTGTTCAGGAAAATGGAATATTTAATATCTTTCTAATAATCAAATATTCTCTATATCTAGGAAAGTCATTTTTATGTATCTCAATCAAGTTTTATAGTTTTCTTGATATGGGTTCTACACATTGACTTACATCCATCTACATTTTTGATTTTTATACTGGGAATGAGATGGAGCTGCTGCTAACTCTGGAGAAACTTACTGCTGATCTTTTATCTTTGGACATGATCCTGACTGTTCTCCTAAGTGATGGATTATCTTAGATTTGAAAAGTATAGGAAGTAAAGGACAAGAGGGACATGTGGGGGGATGTAGTAGAGTCTGTTTTATATTCATAGTGAGAAGACTCTGAACCTCCCAGGAGGGCTCTAAAGGTTAAAAAACATGCAACCAAAAGCACCGAGGATTAGTAAAAAGAAATAATGTGCAGTAAGTGCTCAGAGGGATGACTCATTGCATTGGATCATCTTTGGGAAACCACCTACTAAGCAGAATTTAGCAGCTAAAGCGTTATTTTTGGTGCACAGTTTATTGCTACTTCCTCTTGGGAAAAAAAGATTAATCCTAGCTCCCTAAAACACTTAAGAATGGTCACCCTGGCAAACCGGCCTGTCAGGTAACAATGTTGTTTCCAGATCAGGGCAGTGTTAGGTTCCCTGTAGGGATTTCTTCAGAACAAGGGAGAAGCACTTTACCACATGTTATGGAAAGGAGTATAGACCAGGAGACAGAAGATCCAGCTCTTAGTGCTGGCTCTGTAACTGATTAACAAATAAATCCCAGAGTGCAGGCAGGCCACTTAATCTCTGCTCATCTGCTAAAAAACAGATATCACAGCTTCTGTCGTACTCCATATCATGGAAGAAAATAACACAAAATAATAAACCATGTGAATGAAGCAGTTAAAACTGCTGAGAAATAAAATTAACCTGCTCAGTAAAAGTAAGGCTACCAATCAAGAACAAATAGAATGAACTGTTACTCGTTCCAAAGTTATTTATTTTTGCTTAATACTGTATTTCCTTCTCCTTTTTCTCTGTCCTGTGGTTTCTTTTCCTTGTTTCATTATGACTAAATATGCAAGGAAAATTCAATGCTGTTATTTTGGTCCTATCTTTGGCCCAAATCTCTAGATTTAATTTACCCATGATACCGTGCTGTGCTATTTAAAAAGATCACTAAGAAAACTTTATAGATGATGAAGTTAGGAAAATGACAAATAAGGGGATAAATGCGTTTCCTTATTTAGGTGAGGACTATGGCTGAGAAGATTCTGTAACTTAGACATAGTCAGGGACGTGATAAGAGCAGGAGCTGTAATCAGTTTTGCTAATCATGATTTCTAAACAATACTATTTTATCAAGTATTTAAATGCAATCTATCCGTAGCACATTTAAAAAAAAGTTATAAGAAATATTTTTAAATTTGTTATTATTATTATTTTTTGAGACAAGATCTCATTCTGTTGCCCAGGCTGGGGTGCAGTGAAGTGATCTCAGCTTGCTGAAGCCTCCATTTTCTGGGTCAATCATTCACCCACCTCAGCCTCCTGAGTAGCTGGGACCACAGGGGCATGCCACCACACCAGGCTAATTTTTGTATTTTTTGTTTTGTAGAGACAGGGTTTTGCCATGTTGCTCAGGCTGGTTTCGAACTCCTGAGCTCAAGCGATCTGCTGCCTTAGCCTCGCAAAGTGCTGGGATTACAGGCGTGCACCACTGTGCCCAGCCAACACAAATATTAAGGTCAACTTCTGGTTTCAGTACAAACTATTTAGTTTATTTATGAAGCAAATGAACTTACAAGAATGAGAAGGCTGAGGGGATATGATTATATATAAGATCCATTTGCATTATACATTCTCTAGAGAGGTACAACTCTCTGTCATATTTTTGATTTTATAACTATAAGAGAAAAATATCACCGGCAAAGGCTTTATGTCACTCATAAGAAATGAAACAGCATTTGATAAAAAACAGCATGTACAGGAATAAATAATTACATTTTGGTAAAAATATATGTTAAAAAAGATAAAATATTTATGAAATATGTTTTCTTCTTCCCCTGAGACGGAGTGCCCAGGCTGGAGTGCAGTGGCGCAATCTTGGCTCACTGCAACTTCTGCCTCCTGGGTTCAAGCGATTCTCCTGCCTCAGCCTCCCAAGTAGCTGGGATTACAGGCATGCGCCACCATGCTGACTAATTTTTGTATTTTTAGTGGAGATGGGGTTTTGCCATGTTAGCCAGGCTGGTCTCGAACTCCTGACCTCAGGTGATCTGCCCACCTCGGCCTCCCAAAGTGCTGGGATTTAGGTGTGTGAACCACTGCGCCCAGCCCGATTGTATTTTCCTAAATGAAAACTTCAAAAATTTTGCTGGTATATTGCTTTTTAATATGAAAGTGCAATAAAAGTTGTTAAAAATGCAGCCACATGTTGCTACACTTACGGTTTTAGAAAGAGATGAATATGTAGACATAAAACAAAAGCCTTGGGAGGTATTTCTTCTATACTGTACTTAAGACTATGTGGCCACAGAGGGCTGCCAGGTTTTACAGACCTACGGGTTAAATAGCAACTGACTGTTTTACTCAAAAACTCCTTTTGAATTTAGAAAACAATTTAGTCAGATTTTGGAATATTAAGCAAATAAATGTCTACTTCCAATATAAAGTTTAATTACTGACCAGTTAGACTTCTTGATCATCACTCGTAGTCTTGGCATTGTAACTGAGGGACACATTTTCCTTGAAAATGAAATTCAGATTCTTTCAAACTATAAAATAACTTCTGATCACTTTTGGCTAGATAAAAATCCTGAATGAATTTTAAGGAAATATGTAAGAGAATTTCACCTTAAGATCATTATTTTTAAGAAATTAAGTAGATAAAAACCAGTGTGACCTAAAAAGTGTTGAGTAAATAACTTTTCTTCAACATCAACAGCTAATAATAATAATAAATTCAATTTACTGAACACTTATTACAGGAAAGGGGCTGCTTTGCTTTGTTTCACATATGTTGTCTCATTTACTCCTAATAACACTCTGCTAAGTAAATATCATTATCCTCATTTCAAAGGGAGAAACTGAGACTTAGGTTAAGTCAAGATCAAATATCAAATTTAAAAACTCAACATCTACTATGCAATAACAGCCAACGACAAGGCCAATGGTATACATACAAGGTGATTACCATGTTTTGGGGAAGCAGGAAAAAAGAGAACGCTGAGATAAATTTCAAAATTTGATCACTTGCTGAAAGGCATTAAAAAAAAATGAAAGTTTGTGCTGTGTTCATTTATCCCATCTAATTAAGTAGGGCCCTTTAAAGCTTACAAAGCATTATGAGTAAAAGTATTTAACGTATTACAAATAACATGTTGGTATAATTTGTTAATAGACATTGTATGCATTGCTCATAAAATGCACCTTCAGATGGTATAATTTTAGCTCATAACTAATGTATACTTTGGATTACTGTGGTTTTGCATGCTAAAAAATTTAAAAGACATTTTCATTTTCTTTATATGGAAATTTATAAATTTTCCAAAAGATATAGAAAATAAACTTTTAGTATATCTTTGGCATTATTTTTATTAACATCAGTATATTTTGAAAATAAATGATGTATTTCAAAAGATGAACCTGGAAGTAGGAAGGCCTTGATACCAGGGAGGAGGCTGCAGGCTGAGCATGGAGCAGAGTGACTCTGCCAAGCCAATCCCATGTCCCACAATTGAACAACGTTTCACTGTCTCATGTCTTACTGACCCACTCATTTGAGGCTGAACTTTTTTGGTACCTTTACCCACTCATTTGGGAGTTCTGCCAATGCCCAGATAGAAGGATGCTTCAGAGCAAATCGGGGTCTGCCTCACTGAGTCTTGCTTTGTGCCTGCTCTGACAGGTAGCAGGACAACACACCCTGTGTTGACCCTCCAGACTGGGCAGGAACCTCAGTCCAGGTCTGCCATTGACCGGCTGTGACCCTCGTGGGCAACACTAACTGACTCAGAGTCTCTTTAGTCTATTCCAGAGTGGGTTCCTTGAATGCCTTGAAGGAACATCACTTACCTACTAAATTATAATAAAAATGTCCTCAAATTAAATATGTCTTCTTCACTAGTGCTTGAAGATGTCTTTTGACCCCCCCAGAGTTAAACATTGGATGCCAATGATATGCTGAAAATTACTAACTTTTGCTTTTCCAGGAGAACCACCATATCTCATCAGATCTAAGATGTCACCAGTTGACTGCAATTCACATTTTGATTTTTAGAAATAAATGTGAAAAAAATGTAGATCTTAGAAACACTGCAATGTGGTAGAATAGTTGGCAAAATAGCAATTTTCTTGTTGGGGGGTGATGAAATGCTTCAGCTACACTGTGTTCAGATTCTCCTGATGTTATCCTGGGACTTATATCATCTGCTTCTTTATGGATCCACTTAATATTTCATTCAATGAATACAGATTTACTGAAAATATTTTCTCAAAATATTAAAAAAAATCTTGGCGCTTTGGTGAACACACGTAGAAAACCTGCCTCCTTAAAGTTCTTGAAATAAAGAAAGTACATATGAGATAGATTCTTTGCTAAGCACTTCTGAGTTACAATGAGTTATTTCTTGATAACCAATGAACAATAGCGACATTATTAAACGTTTGTTCTGCAAAAGGCAGTAAAAAGGACTATGGGGTAAACTCTTTTGACGTAACTTGGTGACCAGATCCTTAGGTTCTTTTGCATATTAGTGGTCTGAGGAGCATGTTAGGAGACTGACAAAAATAGTCTCAATTAAACGCTATTCTCTTCCTTCAAGAAAAGCTTTCTTGCTCAGCAGTATTACTGGACAGCATGGCTTTGGTGCTTAAAGCCTTCCTGTTCTCACTGGAAAATTGGAGTCAGTGTCTTAGGCACCACCATGCTGCGGCACCCTCACGCCTAATGATCACATCAGACTGTACAGGCTTCAACCACTTTAAACAATTTCCTTTGTCTCCCCTTCCTTTTCTGTAAATTTTTTTGTTGTTTCGTTGTTATGGGTAGTGACAGTTTCTGGTTTCTTTCATTTGCCAACGGTTTCCTTTACCACAGCCTCTATTCCTCCTGCTGGAAGCCTGGCACCATTGGAAGCTGGAATAAAAACCACAACTGAATAGCCTGGCACTTACTTTAACAGTCATTTCCAACCACAGATTAATACTGTTACTGGATTTGACTAACGGCTCTCAATCAGCCCAACTGTCATCACTTGAGAACATGCTAGCCAGTGAAAGCCAAAAAGGAAAATATAAGCAAATTCAAATTATGGTATAATTTTTCTGATTGCTCATCTTTTGAATCCAAGGGTATCTATCTCTCTAAATATCTTCTTCTGGGTTCTCCTTAATAATATGTTTAATGTATATATAGATCAGGAGATAATACACCACCTGGCTGCAACTAGTGGGGAGGCTGAAGTCAGGAGGGAAGGGTTGCCACAGGCACTGGCTAGCACAAGAGAGCACGCCGCTCAGCTGCCCATGGAACGTATATGTATCCTGCACCTTGCTCTGCCCACCTTTGGCAACGGCACTGGAAACAGCTGGTGTTAAGTGTGCTAAGTAGCCAGCATCAAAGTGCAAATGGAAGGGGGCCCTCATGGAGGTTCTGTGTTGATAACAGTGATGTTCAATGCTAGCCTATCATAAACAGGAACCAGGTTTTTCTCTTTATCATTTACTTTGACATAGTAGACTTCAGGTCCAGTGCAGCTGATAGGATTTTTCAATAGATACAAAAGAAGGATGGTATAGCACATTATACGGTATATGACTGGCTTAATGAAAATAAGAGTCTATCCCAACTTGGAGCTTCCCGTATCAACAAAAACTCCATTTTCTATGACTGAAGGCTTTGACAACTCTTACTAATCCCAGCTTTTGGTCCTGACAGAATCTAACCTACAGATACAGGGAAAAGAATTTGGATGACTATTACTTTCTGACTGACGACTTCTGGGTCTACTCTGGGTATTTCACACACATTTAATCCCAATCTTCCTCCTTAAAAATGTATTGAATGACATTCATTTAATACACCCCTGGAGGGAAAATAAAGTAGAAAAATCTTTCTGGAGGGCAATTTGGCTCCACGTATCAAAGGGCTCAGGGTTTTGAATATGCTTTGTATCACTATTCCACTTCCGGGAGTTAGTCCTAAAGGAATAATCATGAGAATGAAAAAAACTTTACTTACACCAATGTGCATCACAGCTTTCCTTAAAGTCTTGCAAATTTCATTCACTCAACCAATATTTACTACATGCCTACTATGTACCAGGGAATATTTAAATACAAATAAATAAGATCCAGATATATTTTTATATAAGAAAAGCAGATTACAAAAAAGCATGATCTAATTTTACAAGAAAATTAAAATGTTATAATGCATAGGAAAAACAGTTGAAAGATAACTATTAAACCATTAGTAATGGTCATCTCTTGGTCACTGGTTTATGGTTTATTTTTCTTTCCTCTTTCTTTTCCTATTTTTATTTTTAAAGTAAGTATCTTGTAAAGAGCCATTTTGACACTACGTAAATCTCTTGATGAAATTTCCACTCAGTAGTTTTAGCATCATCCATTGATGATTTTCTAACTCCATCATTCACTCTGTTATTATTGATTGTCAGTCTACTGTAAGACAAAGCTCTCTTTTCTCCCACTTTATTTATATCAGCATGGACTCATGGATTTTAATTTTATTCAGGAGGTTATAATCCTTTACTATAATTATGTATTTTGATGCCCAAATTGTTTTATATTTGTCCAGTGGCTCCTTCAAGCTAAATTCTGTGCCTTTCTGGTATGTTCCCATATTTTTTGAGCATTTTCTTACTTTCTGGTATAACAAGATACTATAGACTTATACTCTTTACTCGTATTTTAAAAGCTCTACAACAACCATGTATATTTTTGTTAAATGAAAGAACATAATACATACTATTTAAAAAATAATCTTACATAAGATGCATACATTATACAGATTTTTATAAGATTTTTAAAAAACAGTCCAGATTGCTGATCCTACATGGTTCAGGAATATTAGAACAAATGGGCCTTCTGAGCTCCACCTGAGATGGGAGAGGATAGCACCTGTCTTACAAACCAATATGAAAGGAAATTATGTCTAGTGAGATCATTAAATGCATAAGTCATTGCTCTTTACTTGACTAAAACCAGTGAGCCGGCCACACAGCCTTAGATAAGAAAGGTAACAGTTAAAGTACATTCTGTTCGATTAATTAATGTCTCACAGCCAAATGTCTCTGTCTTGCCCCTTAGAAAACTGCATAGAAGAATGGTGAGACACCATCATTTTCATCTGAGTGACTGAGTTTCTTCCTGCTGACTGTTTGGAGTTCCCCTGTGAGCTGGCGTAAGGTACTTCTTCCTGTGGCTCAGAGTAAGACTCTGAGAGCCTTGGGGACTGCCCTCTGGATTCTGTGAGGAACTATGGAAAACAAGGGAAGACCAAGTAGGAGCCCCCAACTCCTCCTTGTGGAGGAGTCAGCTGACCCCACGCCTTGACCCCAGAGCCCTGCATAGTTTCTTTAATCTTATTAGATGGGTTTCCTTAAACTCACTTTCATGCTCAGCCTTTTGCCAGACTCTAGGACCAGCTCTGGCCTTTGTGGTGACTGTGGTGGGATATAGGGGGAGAGATATAAGGAGCACTACAATGATTAGTCATCACTTCACTATTGAGTCATTTGGCCATGCCGCCCAGCCCACTGTGACCTCAGTTCATGCTGTGTACCCCACGCTTGAGGTTCTGTCTAGAATCCCAGTACTCCAGGTCCTTGGACTTTTTTGATTCTGAATTCTTCTAATGTCTTCTGTTACCTCTGAGAAGAAGCCATCCTTTATCCTGTTCTAGAAAAGTGATACACCAAGGTAATTTAACATTATGAACAGGAAGTTCAGTGGCTAAGTTTCACTGAACATGTACAATGCAAAAAGACAAAAGTGAAGTGCTTTATACATACTGTTTAACCTCAGATCAATGCTATGTGGGGGATATATATTAATATCCTCATTTTACAATTGAGGAAACTGAGGTTGAGGGATGGTTAATGATAACTCATCATCATTGAGCTAAGAAGTGATAGAGACAACTAGATGCTCCAAAGCTGGCTCTCATGACCACTTCACTACATCGCATCGTTTGGCTATGACTACGGAACTGCTAGTGGACTTGAGACTCAGGCTGAAAAAAGAATTTTTTTTTTTTTTTTTGAGACAGGGTCTACCTCTGTCACCAAAGCTGGAATACAGTTGTGTGATCACAGCTCAATGCAGCCTTGACCTCCTGAGCTCAGGTGATCCTCCCACTTCAGCCTCCAAGGTAGCTGGGACTATAGGCATGTACCACCACACCTGACTAATTTTTTGTAGAGACAGGGTTTGGCCATGTTGCCCAGGATGGTCTCGAACTCCTGGACTCAAGTGATCTGCTTGCCTTGGCCTCCCAAAGTGTTGGGATTACAGGCTTGAGCCACCACGCCCGGCCAAATCCCGGGTTTTAAAAAATACAAATGAACTAATGGGAATAACACTGGTAAGCCTGATGTTGAGACCAAGTAGTATTCTTCAGTTGGTTCTAAGAAAAGAAAGAGGTGATCCAGAGGAGTCTGTAAGTCCATGAAGAACTTGGAACAGGTTTGCCATTATAGCACGCTTCAGCAGCTCATTCACTCATTCAGCACATTTGGAGTCTGTGATGTGCTTATCACTATGCTGAGTGTAGGGAACACAGAAATAAGACTGACGTGGTCCCTGCCCTTGTGAGGCTTACAGTTTAGGGAGAAAGAAAATCATTAAATAAGTGGTAAGTGTTATGAAGAAAATAAGATATGCTGGTGGAGAATAATAGAAAAAGCCTCTTTAAGGAGGTGACATTTAACCTAAAGGATGAAACAGAGGAGGCAGGCCTGCTGAGGTCTATTCACTTTCTTTTCATCTTTGGTTGTAGCTAGAATTTTTGAGTACTCTTCAAGGGAGCTTTATGACTTGGGTTCTGTTAAACAAGTCAACCACGATTTTTAATCCATGTGCTTTATCACGAATGGTTTCCTTCACCCTGTTCAAAACATCACAAATATGATATAAATGGGACACTTACTATTCAGTCTAAAACTGTTCTCATTTATTTACTTATTAAATACAGAAAAATCCCTTTAGAATCAGGGATAAGAGGAAAGGTCTTTGTGTTTCGCAAAGTTCATCCAAGTGTACTATTTGTTTCTTCCCCATGGAATTGTCATATCAGCTTTAGGAAAGATGATGAAAGAAAAGAAATGGGCCCAGAGGGACCTAAGGAAACCAGGCCAAACTTGCTGTTCACGTGGACCCTTACAGGGAGAATGGAAGGCAAAAGCAGAGAACTGGGTCCAATTTTCTTTCTCAGTGCTATCTGTGCAGTGGTCAGATGTGGCACTCACAACCAAAAGGCTTTTGAAACAGCACTGGTGAGTCCTGACCTACCTTCTTCAAATTTCTGAAAATGATACATTTTATTATCTCATGAGTAGAGATACTGGAGATTACTCTTAAGGCAGGAAGGGGAGACCTAGGGTCCCTTTCTTTGCTATAATTAACTGCATTTTCTCTGGGAGAACAGAAGCTCCCCATGGATATATGGGGTTGGGACAAGTGGCTATTTACAGCTAAGAAGGGAATATTTTTGAGGTTTAGAGAATTCAAATCACGATTACTATCTCATGTTCAAAGACTGAAATAAAAATGGCTGTGTACTCTCTTCATGGAGCAATTTGATGTTCTGAGGCCCTCTACTCCCTGGCTTCTGGAAATCTATTTTTCCCTCCATCACAATATTTCCTTTAACTACTGAATAATTAACCCTAGTGACTAACCTAGTCTCATAGGAAGAAGGCTTGTGAAATCTGCTCCTGATGCATGTAATAAGTGTAGAAGGACACATTAAGTAATGTGTACAGTCTGGGAAGGCCAAAATTCCTTTCCCAAGGCCTGGTCCACCCTGAAAAAGAGGAAGGAAAGCTCATACTTTAATTATTGGAGCAGGTATTCCACTGGTTCACACATTACCAGGACCTTAGAGGTTTCTTCTATCATACAGAAGGAACCTGGATCAGCACACTCGCCTACTCTTCTTTGTCTGCCAGTGGAACTCCACAACAACTGACCGAAGCTGTCACCACCCCAGGCTGCCAATGTGGGCCTCCAGATTGTGAGGCCACAGGGTCAGATATGGGGCCTGGCGCTGCACTGACAGTGCTGCATGTCCAAAGAGGCAAGCAGCCAGGCAGAGCCCTCTCTGTTACAGCTTGGCCACCTGTCTGAGAGGGAAGACAAATCCCATTTCATCGGGTTTGGCATGGAAAGCAAATTGTTCACCCCCACACGCAAAAGCTCTTGAGTGGCAGAAGGAAAAGTACACACCCCAGGTGCGAATATAAAAGCGGGTCTCTTTGGGATGAACCTTCTGGTTAATTTGGTTTGGAGTCTATGGTGTTTTCACTCAGCTCTCATCAGTTTTTAAGCCGTATTACAGCTCCCAGGCTTTTAGGATAATTCTCTTAATGAAGTAATGAAATGCCAAAGAAATGGCATCACAGGGCTTTGCCCTTTCCTGCTTTTTAAAGGCCATCAAAACCATCATTCCCTAACATACCCACACAGGAAAAAAGATGAGGCTTATCTTGTTTTTAAGCTATTGTGTTGCCAGCATTTCCATCGTACAAGAAAGATAAGTAAATGCTTGCAAAATAAAGTCTGACCCAAGCTTCACCTGATATGCAGTTTCTATCTTGCTGAGTGCACATGATAATAAGATTTCCAAGCAGCATTAGAAACCATGGTTCAATCCAGAAGTGTGCTCCTGCAACCCGGGGAGGGGGCTCCTGATGACTTCACAGTGAAGCCACCGTCACAAACAGGATTTCCTAAAGAGGTCTTAGGGTGAGGAAGAAGCTTCATTCTAACTTTGGCTCTGCCATCTGGGCAGCACTGCTGCTCCTCCCCTCCTGTAAACAGGCAGTTAAGAGGGGGCAGGGGCACTCCTTCCTATTGTTCCTCATGGCTCTCACTTCCCTTTCATCTTTGGCAATAGCTGGAATTTATGAGTATGTTGGATGACCTTCCAAGTCTTTCCTTCGGAGTTTATTTACTTCGTGGATACTCCTTAGTAAGGCTCCATCTTTTGGCGGCTCACACCCCGGCTGTATTTGTCCAAAGGTGTGGCTTTATCTCTGTATGGTATTGAATTGAATGGAAAAGGAGTCATAAAGACTGTGTGATTCATATAATCCAACGGTGATTGTGCATACACGACACTATTTCCCAACTTATACCTTCCAGTACAGCCAGGTCTTGCTTTTCTGAGAATGAATGCACTGCTATTTTTGTGGCTTGCCTAATGAAGTTCTTGTTAAATATCCAATCAAACATCTTCAAAATCCAGCTCAGGACTAACTTCAGGAAGCCCCTATTATTCTAGTTCAGGGTAATATCTGACTTTTCTAAGCTCTTAACAGTTTTAAAAATCTGTACCATGTGGCTCAGCACTTACATATGCCTGGTCTGATACTGTTTGCTAATTATTACATGCTAACACATCATGCACATTTTTATTTGCTCATGTAAGTTATAACCTCCTTCAGGCTCAGTCTTCAGGTTTTTGCTATCTTCCACAGTGCCCAGAATGATTGTAAGCACCTGGTAGGTTTTCTTTTTTCTTTTTCTTTTTCTTTTTTTTTTTTGAGATGGAGTCTTGCTGTGTCACCCAGGCCAGAGTGCAGTGGCGCGATCTCGGCTCACTGCAACCTCTCCCTCCCAGGTTCAAGCGATTCTCCTGCCTCAGCCTCCCGAGTAGCTGGGATTACAGGTGCCTGCCATCACATCTGGCAAATTTTTGTGTTTTTAGTAGAGATAGCGTTTCACCATGTTGGCCAGGCTGGTCTTAAACTCCCAATTTCAGGTAATCTGCCCACCTTGGCCTCCCAAAGTGCTAGGATTACAGGCATGAGCCACTGCGCCTGGCCAGCACCTGGTAGGTTTTCAAAGAATATTTGCTCATTCATTAATTGAGAGAAGAATCCCATGGGATTCTTCTGTAAGTTTCATTTCCTTATTATGCAACTGAGTTAAATATATTAAGTGTAAACATTAGAACTACCAAAGGAATAATGCTAGGACCAGTATTGACTTAATATGTTTATACTGTTTTGATTAGTAAAATGACATAAAACCTCTGAATTTAAAATTAAGTGCTTTCTGGGAATATAAAATAAAAAAATGACTAAACTCTACTGAAGAAAAATCTTGAGACTAAGTGACTGAAGAGAAACATGGGAAAACTGTTTTGAAAAAGGCAAGGAGCAAACGATGCATTTGGCCCATTTTATGCCAGAGCTACTCACAGAGTGATGGGCTCTGACCTACAGGCTGCAGTATGTTCATTCATTTATTCATTATTCATTTACTTAGTAGCCACTTTATGCCATGCTCTGTTAGGTACTAGTTATACAGTGGTGAGTAAAATAGAGAGGGTCTGGTTTATAGTTTCATGAGTGATAGGGCAAACAGGTTTTAAGCCAGAAAACACTAAAATAAATATAAGTGCAAACTGTGCTAAGTGCTATGAAGGAAAAAAGTCAAGGTGTTGTGAGAGTGAATACCCGAAGGTACTGATTTTACTCTGGGTCAGGAAAGGTTTCTTTAAGGAAATAACATTTAAGATGAGATTGGAAGAATGACGTGGAGCAGCCAGGAGGTGAGTTGAGGAGGTGAGTGGGCAATGCTCCAGGCAGATGACTCCAGGAATCTCTGCAGGCAGTTTCTTGAAGGGACCGATATAACTGCTGCTTCTGCACAGCAAAGCCAATAAACTTATGGATCCAAATAAGAATACAGGAAATTCATATACTCATTCAACGAATCTTTATTGAATGCTGACTATGTGCTGGATATAGTTCTCTGCCTCTGGGATATCCAAGTAAACAAAGCAAAGATCCTTGCCCTGTGGAGTTTAAGTTCTATAGTAAGAAATAAATGCACCAATATATTTTCATCTAAATATTGCAGGTTTGGCTACAGACCTTGATGTGTGTATAATGAAACTTGAAAGGTCTCAGAGGAAGGAACAGTGGTGTAGTGGACGCAGGGGACAGCTGTTCCCTGTTGGGAGACAATTCTGCATGGGCCCTTTGTATTTCTGCACATCTTGCAAGTAGAGACACTAACTGCATTTGTGCTGGATTAGATTTTCAAGTAAACTGCTTTGGAAGATGATAGTGTCTCCCTCTATAGCATGAGCAGGTTTGTTTGCTCTTAAACATGATAATAGCTTCTGCTGGGGCAAAGGTAAGGCCGACTTAACTGACCATTATAAAAGATTCATGTTGGGGATTCGTTTTTGTAACACAACCCGTGTGTGTGTGTGGGTATGTGTGTGTGTAAGTGTGTTCGTGCGTGCTTGCAGGTGTCATCTGCCCCCCTTCTTATTTTCCTATGGGAATTGGGAATCTGGTGCAAATGCTGATACTGTAGCTACTGCTATTGCTGTGAGTAATAAACTAGGCTTTGTCTCTAACCCAAGAGTCTTGTGTCTTTTGCCAGCATTCATGAAACTGTGGTAGACTAATTTGTTAACCTGCAAATAGGGGAAAAATCTCACATCCTTCGCAGGTCTTGACATGAGTCAAGTGACAAACCAAAAAATGGGGACTTTTTAGTTGAGAAAGACAAAGACCAAAGGGGTAGAGGATAAGGCTGAAGTATATAAAATCAACAAAAGTAAACTTGGTTGTATTCACCAGTCTTGAATATCAAGTGAAGGGATGAATCCCTGATGTTTGAGAGAGGTAAGTTTATGTCAATAGAAAGGAATTTCTTCACATACAGGATACTAACCTTATAGAACTTACCATCTCAATAAATGGTGCTGGCTGAAACTACAAATTATTTTATAAAAGGCCTCACTAAAGTGATGGATGACAAACCTAGAATGCCCAGTTCAATACGTATTGGATGACCGAGTGTTTGCCAAGTGACCATCTATAAGATGATCTCATTATCTGTGTCAGAGAAGAACTACTGGGAAAAATCATTAATTTGACCTAACAAGGACCATTTTTAATCTACAAAGTGAGAAATAGACTCTTCACTGCTTTATCTAGTTTTAGTTTTTACTATGGATACACATACATAAACATATACATTTGGGATATGTAAGTATAAAAATCTCCTTTACAACAAGCTACAATTCATAATCATCTTAATTCATAAATGTTAAATAATAATGGTAAAATATGCTCCTATTTTAGGGCAGTTGTTTCCCAAGCTGGATGTGAAGAACACTTCCAGGAAATTTTAAGAGGCATATCTTGAAAAAAAAAAGTCTCACGGTCAAATATATTTGAGGAGCTATGCACTATATGTATATATCTTTGGAAATTCAAAATTTACATTAATAATGAGGGCTGTGATAAGCCCTGAGTCACAGAAACCTTTAAGCTCGTGTTTCCCAAATTTTTAGTATTGACCGATCATTTCACAGCATGCCCATTATTATCTCATGAAACACTATTCCATGAAACAGCAGATTGAGAAATGCGTTTGTCAATTGTTAAAAAATGAAGATTTTTATGGCAAGGACTGCTATAATGCCAACATTATCTATAAAGCCTCACTAATTTGAAGTTAAAAACACCAGTGAAGTGGGGACAGAAGGGCCTAACAGGTGACTGGATGTCCTGGTTTGCTTCTCTCATACAGGTGGTTGGGCCATCTTCACCTGGGGGGATCCTTGGGATTAATTGTTTCTTGTGTCCAAGGAGCCCGAATGCCCCAATTTCATGAATATTTTCATGTTTAAGGCAAGGATAACAATCATAGTTATAGCTAACATTTATTGCTTCCAATTGATGTGCTACAATGCCATTTTGAGCACTTTATATTCTAAAATTCTCACAATAAACCATGAGAGAGGTAGTTTTATTATCCATGTTCACAGAAAAGGAAACTGAGGCACGGGTGGTTCTGTCACTTGGCCAAGGCTATACAGCTAGTAAGTGGAAGAGCTAGGATTTAAACCCAGACAGTCTGGCTCCAACATCAACTCCTGTGCTTAACTACCTTTGGAATTACAGCATATGTCAGCAAACTTCCACATTACCAGTGTAATTCATACCACAAAGCAATTCACTTTACCTTCTAGTTGGGTTGAGCCTAGGTAAGTAGCCTTCAGAGCTTAGGAACCATAAATAACAACCAGACCTTGTGCTAACACATCTTGAAAAGCTTGTCTAAGCTTTACAATTGTACCAGAAGAAGTAAAATACAAATAGGACAGCATGTACCATTGCCAAAACAATCTCCCCTTTGTATAGTTTTTTCTTCTCACCAATTTGTTACTATATGCAATACTGACTTTAAGTAAACAAACAAGAAGCTACAAACAATACACCCACCCTCTTTTAATTACAGCACTACAACAAGGCCACTTTGTTAAAATGGTTCATCTCTAAAATATTTTTCTTACCAAAAATGATACACAGATACATACACACTCATGTTTCCCCCTAAAACCCCAATCCTTTTTGTATGTTGTGAGTGGAGTGCAGAGAATAAAGCTCCTACTGAGTGCTTTTGGCCTTCAGATTTGGTGCTCATTACTGTGTAGACATTCTCAGCCAGAGCGCGACAACAGGCATTCAGAACTGTGTTTTCTGCAATGTTTATTGTTTATTCCACGATCTTTTGTTGTTTTTTTTTGTTGTTGCTGTTATTTTACATGTTGGCATATTAATTTCTATTGCTGTTGTAACAAATTACCACCAATTTAGTGGCTTAAAAAAACAACACTCATGTATCATCTCACAGCTCTGTAGGTCAAAAGTCCAAGTATGGCATGGCTCAGCTGGTTCTCTGTTAGAGTTGTACAAAGCTGACATCAAGGTGTCGGCAGAGCTGTGTTCCATTCTGGAAGTTCTGGGGCTAAATCTGCTTCCAATCTCATACGTGATTGTTGGCTGAATTCAGTCTGATGTGGTTGTAAGACTGAGGTCCCTGTCTCCTTGCCAGTTGACAGCTGGGGGCTGCCCATTGTTCCTAGAGGTCTCTCTCTGGTTCCTAATGTGGCTGCTACGTCTCAGAGCCAGCAAAGCATGTTTGATCCTTCTCATACTTGGAGTCTCTCTCTCACATCTCTTTTGCTTCTAGCCTGAGAAAATTCTCTCTCTTTTTTTTTTTTTAGACGGAGTCTCGCTCTGTTGCCAGGCTGGAGTGCAATGGTGCAATCTCGGCTCACTGCAACCTCTGCCTCCCAGGTTCAAGTGATTCTCCTGCCTCAGCCTCCCGAGTAGCTGGGACTACAGGCATGCGCCACCACACCCAGCCAATTTTTGTATTTTTAGTAGAGATGGGGTTTTACCATGTTGGCCAGGCTGGTCTCGATCTCCTGACTTCAGGGGATCCTCCTGCCACGGCCTCCCAAAGTGTTGGGATTACAGGCGTAAGCCACGGTGCGAGGCTAGTTCTGTTTTTAAAGGACTCATGTGATTAGGTTGGGCCCCCTCAGATAATCCAGAATAATCTCCCTATGGTAAGGTTCATAACCTTAATTACATCCGCAAAATCCCTTCTGCTATGTAATGTAACAAATTCATAGTGTTTAGGGTGTAGATATATTAGGGGACCATTCTGGGTACCACTTCAGGTGAACATTTCTGTGCCAAGATGGCTAACAGGGGTGAATGATAATGCTAAATCTGCCCCAAAACAACAAACAACAACAACAACAAAACCAAAAGAAGAATTTCACTGACATTAAATTCTAAATTTTACCCATTTCCAGAAGCCTTTAAGGTCCAAGAAACAGGATAAAGATCAGAAGTGAGTTAGGGACTAGGAGTAGAAGGTCTTTGATATTATAAGGAGCATAATGAATTGCTCTAGACCAGCATTTGTGCAAGTGGTAGCTGGAAGAAACCACTGCCAGAAACAGAGTGACTTCAGGGGGCTTAAAGAGAATACAGGAATAACAGCAAATGTCTACTCCCAGGAATGCATTTCTATAACCTGAAATAATACTAAAAAACTTTTTTTTTTTTTTTTGACATGGAAGAACACTGGTGTCAGCTGTTAACTCTCTAGTGGTGGAATCTTAGGGAGGCCCTGGGATCTTGGAGAGGGGCAGGGGCATCCAGGGAGCTGGGGCACTCCAAGGAGGGGCTCTTTACCAATGGGTCTGGAAGCACATCAATATTTTAACAATGGGTAAGGGATGCAGTAATATTTATAACACTGAATATTGGAAATGTAATCCAATAACATGAATGAGAGTCAACACGCTCACTTATAGGGAGGAACACTACAGCACAAATACTTTTGAATTTCAACATTTCATAACGTATTGATAGATTGTTATTTATTAAGCAGTTCCACAAATACTGAACATTTTGATTAATTTCACTTTTTGTATTAATATAGATCATCTTCAAGTAGAGAAATGCATGTTAAGAAAATTGGGAAAAATGCAAGACATGATATCAGAAGGAACACATCACCCACCTGAGAGTTTAACCCTATTTGCCTTTGCATCACTTTCTCAATTCTCCTAAAGTGTCAATTTTGTTATTTGCTGTCTGCCTTAAGGGGACTGTAATTTAGCTACTCCATTTTACGTCTTTATAATTCTTTCTTATCTCATTCATCTCCCTTTCCATTTCATCTTTGGTTTTTCACTTTGAATAGCCTTTCATATATTTATTTTTTAGGTCTTTAGAGACCATTTCTTTCTAGTCAAAGGTAGGGTAAAATGAAACATAATTTTAGTCATACTTAATTAGACTTTTAAATCTGATGGTACACTCTGCCTGAAGCTTTTCAGGGGGGAATTTCTGAGGTCCAATTACAGGGCTAGTCTCATAATAAGAACTAATAATTCATAATGAAATTATTTGCTTTTAAACCTCATCCAGACGCTGTTGTGAAAAATATACTAACCCAACCACATTCCTATAGGGTCATTAACACGGCCAGTACAAACAGGTGAGGTCTGCTGAAGTCATAGTTCTCAGAGCTTCTGTGAAGAGCTGGATGTTGGTTCTGTGACAGTATCACTACAGGGCAACCCTTTCATACCAGTCCTTTCATAGTATGGCATCCTGTTCTTGATGTATGGATTTTGATATCCTTCTCAGCTCAGGTAAATGCCCAATGGGTATTTAACAAATATACAAATAGAAACTGAATCCTTGCATCACTAAACTTTGTGTTGCCTTCACACATTAAGACAACTTAGCTGAAAATAAAGTTCTTGGGTTATAGACTTAGCCCCCAACAAAGTTGTAGAATTTTCCCTATTCTCCTCTGGCTTTGGTTCAACAAGAGAGAAGTCTGAGGCCAGCTTGATTTTCTTTCCTTTGTGTATAGCTTTAATAGAAACGTATTTTATCCTTGTAGGTTCTTTTCTTTCTCCCTGCAATTCAAACATTTTTCCAAATGTGCTCCACGTCAATCTTTGGAGTGAATTCCATGGATTGTCTCCCCTTTCACCTTGTAGCACAACACTGATGTTCTTCAATCTACCATCTATCTGATAAGCAAATTCCTTTGTTCCGGTCTCAGTCACTGGTTCCACTGCAGGCCCACATCACAAGCAGCCCTAAGAATGCATCTCAGGGCTCCTGTTTGAAATCCTGACACAGAAGAACGTACTCTTTATCTGAGTATCCTGCAGGGCAGATGTGAAACCTGGAACTACTGTAACCGCTTTGCCAATGAATGAAAACAGCCTTTGAAGATGCCAAGACATAGAAAAGGGAATGTTAGAGAAATGGAGCTGCAGCTTCTGGATTAAGCCAACCCTGATGCTCACCTATCTCTGGAATCACCGTTTATGTGAGTCAACAAGTTTTTTATTCTTTAGTGGATCCAGAATGAGTTTTCTGTATTCACAGCCCTGAGCATCTCAAGTACTAATGTCTCTTTTTAATGATTTTCCCCCAAATATTACAGGATCTTTTAATTTGTGTACTCAAGTTTTTCCTCAGTTTAGGAACATGTTTCTTTAATTATGGCTTTTATTACTGCATTTTAAGACCATCAATTTCCTTTCTCTTTTCGTATTTAGAGACAGGGTCTCACCGTGTTGTCCAGGCTGGTTTCAAACTCCTGGGCTTAAGCAATCCCCCTGCCTTGACCTCCAAAATGCTGGGATCACAGGTGTAAGCCACTGCACCCGGCCTCAAGATCATCAATTTCTTAGGCCAGATTTCTATTCTTTATCCTTCATGTTTGTCAGTTTCTCACCATTTTATAAATCTTTTTTCCTTTTTTCTCAGTATTTTGTGAGAACTTCCAATATCATCCTTTATGTCAATGGTTCCATTTCCTACAGTATTAATTCTATGTTTTACTGCTTCCTATCAGATTTTAACTGTGCTATATACTCAGTTTCCTTACAATTCCACTTATCATTGGTCTCTCCATCTCAGATTGCTGTTTTCACATTTTAGAGTGTTCAATTCTTGTGGCTTTTTTTTTTTCTGTTTTAGAGAGTATGTCTTCTAGCATTCTTCTCAGTCTACTGACTTTTAGAAATTTTCTTCTGATTTAGCTAATCACTTTCAGAATTTTTTTCTTTGGTTTTTTGAGTCTTTTGGGAAGTGTTACTTTACCCTATCTAGTAGTATTTTTTCAAAAGTTACAATCATTTTTTCTTTTAGATAGTTGTTTTTCATTTTCTAAGAGGAGCAATCTAACCAGACAATTTGTAGTCAATGCAATGTAGACATTACTTTGAACTTATTCTGTAAATATTTAATGGTCTCTGAGTAGCTTAGATGTTTATATCTACCATGTTTCTTCTAATATTACTCTTATGTCTCTGTCCCCACTTACTAAATATCCCATTCTTCTCACCTCCAGACCCCTAGTTCCTTTTTGCATGTATGTGTTTTCTGGTATTTGAAGCGTCTTACCCGAGAGAGCAAAAGATGTAATACTGTGGAGTAGGTAAGACAACAGCACTATGGAGCTCTCAACAGGAAAGGTAGTGGGAAGAGCTGGCCATTTTCTGAACCGAAGTCAACCTTGTGTTTCTGAAACAAGGGGACTTGAGGGAGGGGAATAAAGATCTACCTATTTCCAGGTGCACATAACAAACCTGTGTCACCAAATGGATATATATATGTATATTTTTCTGAGACAGAAAAAAGCCTGTCACCCAGGCTGGGTTGCAATGGCACAATCATGGCTCACTGCAGCCTCAATCTCCCAGGCTCAAGCTATTCTCCTACCTCAGCCTCCCAAGGTGGGACTACAGGCACGTGCCACCATGCCTGGATCATTTTTTTTTTTTTTTTTGTAGAGACAGAGTCTCCCTATGTTGCCTAGGCTTGTCTCAAACTCCTGGACTCAAGTGATCTGTCCACCTTGGTCTCTCAAAGTGCTGGGATTATAGGTGTGAGCCATTGCACCTGGCCACCAAATGGATTTTTCAATTCAGTTCTGGCTAAATGAAAATTCTTCCTATAATTTTGATAATTATTTCACTGCCAGTCTTAGTTTTTTAATGCTGGATGTTTTGAGGGGCCAGTAGGTATCACTTTAAACTAAAAGCTCCCAATATTTTAAATAAATTTTGATTGAGGGTTTACAGAGGTAAATGCAAAAATAAGCTGTTAATATGCAATCTGTAAAAAAGGTACTAGGTTAGAGAAAAAAATGAAACATGTCTAAGTTCAGTGCTGTTTTTAATCAGGGCTGTATGCCACCTAACAGAGTGCCTTTGAAAACAAGTTTATTGCATGCTGATGCCTAGAGAATTCAATATGACTCTGATAAGCAAAACAGATAAAGCAATTGGCTTCCAAATTACTTCTGAATATTGAAATATTAGCATGTCAAATTATTACAATTAAATGGTTGGGCAACACAGTGCAAACACATTTGGCACGCTCTTGTTGCCCAACTTTCAAAGTATTGGATCTCCTCCCAAGTTTTAGACTGGGAATGTCCAGCAAACTCTGTGCCAGTGATAAGAGAAGAGCTGGTAGTATCCAGTTCAGTTCATGGTAAAATCTAATCTCCACTAGAAATCTGCCATCTTGAATTGTCCCTTGCAATGTTTCAATTAGCAAGTAAGTACAATCCATATGTCTGCAGCTGTCTGTCACACCTTTCTTTTTCCTGTTATAAAAGTGCATGTATGTGCATTTGCACATACACACACGCTCCTAAGCAGCCAACAACTCTTAAACAATCCTATCTATGAGTACATTCTAATACCTGTAAATTTAATTTGGCAAGCAAAACTGGAGCAATAAATCACAAACCCAATTCTATCATGTATTTCCAGAGAAGGTTAAAGGCGAAAGACCATGCGGAATGCTCTATATTTCCTATGGTTAAAGTGGGAGGGAGAGAAGGACAAAGGGAGAGAGGGAAAGAGAAGGAAGAGAAGGAGGAGAACAGGAGCGTGGAGGGAGGGAAGAAGAGAAAGAAGATGAAGGGAGGGGATAAAAGAAGCTAGGTAATATCTTTTATTTCTGTAAGAATATACCCAATGTTTCTCAGTTAAACCAAGTGCTGGGTCTTATCAGACACCAGCTCCTTCAGCCACCATAGGAACACCAGATGGGAGGTAGATGCTCAGCGCAAAACAAAAGAGCAAGGGTATCAGACAGCCACAGACCACTCCACAGCAAGGGCCCGTATGGAGTTACTTGGTTTGTCACTACCCCCTATCATTTTAGTACAAGACCTAGTAGAATCTTTTGACACATCTTACTATTTGTTGTAATTTAGCGCCTTGGTTGTGTTTGGTGGGAAATTATGTAGGCATACAATAAAATCTCAGCAATCTACATTTACCTGAAGTTATTTACTATATTTATTATTGTCTAGTAAATTTGCATAAACACAATAAAACAAATGTAAATGTTACACCACACTTTAAAGGAGTTACCAAGGCCAGACTCAACTCAGATTGGAGGTCCAAGCCCCAGCTAGAATAATTTTGTGCAGGTGTGGTTCTTTTTATTTTGTAGGGCTATGAAGTACCTCCTGCTCATGAGAAAAATGAGATGGTAAGTTTGCCACTGACTAAAGATTAGACTGGTAAGAACTGACTTTCCATCCAGGACACAATTTTCCTTTAGAGTTGGCCATAAAACTTTCATTCCAGAGGTGCCCACCCTACACCTGGAGGATAGGAGCATTCTTATCTCTGAAGACCCGGGGACACAGAATGCACCTGAACAAGCAGGCCTTGCCAGGTTTCCCCCAGTTTATTACCATTAGATCATACCCTTGGTCTTCCGGCCACACTTCTGCATGACTGTCCATAAAAATGCACAGTTGTCTCTGTTTCTTTGGGTCTTCATTTCTGAAGGCTCCCATGTCACATAAAACATATTAAATAAATGTGTATGTTTTTCTCTTAAAAAAAAAAAGAATTGGCTTTCAATGTATAAAATAGTGACTGTCTCTGTGTTTTATAATCAAAAGTGGGTGGCTTCTGGACCTCAAGCTGAATATTTTCATCTGACTCAATGGCTGAAAGATGTGACCAGGTAGACCTGAGACTTTATGACCAGGTAGACTTGAAACTACTAGTTTGATTATTTTCCTATTGTAAGCAGCTGATGGAAAAGCTTCTAGAGTTATTCCAAGGAGTAGACCTAGAAGGCATCCAAAGTAATGATGCATGAGCACTGGTGACTAAGAAGGAAAAATGACATGAAGCACCTAAATTCTGCCTGGAAGGAATATCATAACTCAATATACATTATTCTTCAAGCCTAGGCACTTCTGAAATTCTGTAGAATAATCTTTGAACTGCCTGTGCACTGGAAAAAAACTGGTCTGAAAAACTGCTTGGGATGTGATCTGAGATAATTTTTTTTTAACTGACAAAATGAGGTTGATTCCTTCCCTATCACTACCCAACTGATAAAAAGGAAACCCACAGTGAATTTTACAGTTGAAAGATGTCTCTTATGCATCAAACCAAACTTAACAAAAGTTTTATAAAATTACCATATTCACTTATGTTTTCCACTTAATATTTTTGACACAGTCTCACTCTGTTGCCTAGCCTGGAATGCAGTCGTGTAATCATAGCTCACTGCAGTCTCCATCTCCCAGGCTCAAGTGATCCTCCTGCTTCAGCCTCTGAGTAGCTGGGAGTACAGGAGCACATCACTATGCCCAGATGATTTTTTTAAATTTTATTTTTCGTACAGACAGGGTCTCACCATGTTGCCCAGACTGGTCTCGAACTCCTGAGCTCAAGTGATTCTCCTGTTTTGGCCTTCCAAAGTGCTGGGATTACAGATGTAAGGCACCATGGCCAACCTCCACTTGATATTGTTTTAATGTAGTGGTAGAAAAGGTAGCAAGGCTTACATAAGAGTTCTTTTCTTGCTTTACTCTTGACAACCTTTCTTCATCTTTGAGAATCTCAATCCTACCTCCCACCTCAAGCTAAAAACAGAGTTTAGTTGAAACTTTTTGCAGGGTAATTTGGTTTAGCTAGCACAATTTAAAAAATTTGCATGTCATTTGACCCTGTAATTTCACTTCTGGAATTTACTGTACAGAAATACCTGGACGAATGCTCCATAAAATAAGCACAAAGATTTTACTGCAACACTGTTTGCAGTAAATATTGTTTGTATTTTTTGACCAAAAAACCCCTAAATGTCCATCAAGAAGAAATTAAATTATGAAATAAATGAACTGACAGTTATTAATCTGTTTAAAAATGAGTTAAATCTCTAGGTACTGACATATTATGATAAAATAAAGCGAATAAGCAATGTACAGAAGAGTATCGGGTAAGCCCATTTCTGTGAGAAAAATTTACATATGTACATGTGTACCTATGTATTTTAGCATTTATAAACTCTCTCTCTTTCTCTCTCTCTCTCTCTCTCTCTCTCATTTGTAACAAGGAAGATCTGGAAGTATATCGAGGGGACTATCTTTGGGAGTTTTGGAGAAGTACAGGAAAGACAATGTTCACATTTTATACTTCTGTATTAACATTAGGTGTTTTTACAACCAGACTATGTTATTTTACTTTTTCGTTTAAATTTTTTTAAAATTAAATAAAACTAACAGGCATGGAAATCTCCTACTTTGATCCTTCGTACAGCAATTTTTGTTTCTTAAAGTGTCACGTGGAGTGAAAGATCACAGAGACAATGAGGCTCCCCAGGTGCAAGCATTTTTTAAAGTAAGGACATATTGAGGATGATCCACTAGTGTCGATAAACACTTTATACTTGCAAGTTTGAGCTCAAGCACCATTAATTCAGGAGAAGAAGGCCAGGCAGCTGCATCAATATCAGCTTGGCTGGTTTTACATGCAAGGGCCCCAACATCTATAGCCCCTACACAACCAGAAAAGAAGACAATGTGGGACACAGAAGAATGAGACTTCAATGAGAAGGGCACTGACTTATTTTCTCCCCTCTTCCCAATAAATGGCAAGTTGTCTCTGTTTCTTCTTTAATTTATCCTTTTATTTGATGACTTAGACCTGCATTGTCCAATCAGTACATGTGGCTACTGAGCACTTGAAATGTGCTGAAAAAAGTCTGAACTGAGATGTGCTGTAAGTGTAAAATACACATTGGAGTTTGAACAGTTAGTAAAAAGAAAGAATGTAAAAATATCTCATTCATCCATATATTTATATTCATTACATGTTGAAATGATAACATTTTGGATGTACTGTGGTAAAAAAAATATATTATTAAAAGTAATTCGACTTGTTTCTTTCTACCTCTTAAAATGCAGCTACTAGAAAATTCAAAAATACATTTGTGGCTCTCATTACATTTCTCCCAGACAGAGCTGGTTTATACTTTTATAGATATTCCACATGGCAATGCAAATGTTCAGAAAAAGGAATAGCAGGGTAGAGAAGTAGGCATGACACACACACACACACACACACACACACCACACACACACACACTTTTGAATTCATAATAAGGAAGAAGTGGAAGTATATCCAGGGGGATATCTTTGGGAGTTTGGAGGGGAGTACAGGAAAGACAATACTCACATTTTATACTTCCATATTAACATTAGTCATATTAGACATAGTAAGAGTTTCAGAAATGACCAAGATATGGCTTTCTCAAAGAATATCAGAGTTGGAGTGAATCTTGGACATCATCCATTCCAGTGTTTTAGGGTCTTTTTAAATCTCAGAAGCCCAATATAGAAAAAAGATGAAAGCAAGATACTCTGATTAAAGCTGAGTGTGGGAACAAGAAGGGCCGAGAAATCTCTGGACTATGCATAGGAAGGGAATCTAAGAACTCTGAAGCACAGTTTGAATTCCATGGATGTGGTATTTCAGCCTCTCCATTTTATAGGTAAAGACGCTAAGTTCCAGAGGTTGATGGTTTGCCTTCAGTGGCAAAGCTGGTAGGGGTAGGGCTGGAACCCATTCTTAGATGTCTGGTTCCTAAGAAACAACACCGTGCTCTGCATGACATCATTGCTGCACCTATGGTGGACAACTTGTGTGCATGGAAAGATAGTGGCTCAGGAAAGTGCTCTGACATAGGTACAGACACAATGCTATGGGGCTACTGTAAGCACAGTACAGTGCTTCAGGCCTCTTCGTTAAAGAAGCAGCTTCTAGATTTACCTTTGAAAGATGACAGAGGCAGCTGGGCACCCAGGACAAGAGAAGAGCAAGGGTTCTAAGGAGAAAAACTTTGAGGCATGTTTTGGGGCCAAAAGGTAGGTCTCTTTCACTAATAGTGACATCTTGGAGAATAATATATGCAATGGCCAGAATAGAGTTGGAGCCTTCTTTCAAAAGGTCTTGAGAGCCAAGGATCCTACACCAGTCTTAGCAAGATTTTGAAAAACAGTGATAATAAGAATATTAATTTATCATAAATACATGAATGGGCAGGAAACAGGGAGACAGATTGGCAGGTTACTGGGTGACTGTTAAAGGCAGCCTCAATTAATGAGATGCAGGTCATGATGGAAATGGGCCAGATTGGAGGGGCCCCATGGAGACAGAATCCACAGGACTTGGATACAGAAGGATGAAGATGATTCCAGGGTGACTCTGAGGACCCAGCTGGGGGGCTGCGGGATGAGGGTTCCATTAACAGAAAAAGGGAAGGTAAGAGAAGCTGGTTAGATGGGTTCAGTGAAGAAAGGGTATCTGTGAGGTGGTTGGTGGAAGAGTCAGTCCATTAAGAAACTGCAGTTTGGCCCTGGAGCCCATCTGAGGGTCATCTATATCTTATCTAGATAGAATTCTTTGTAAACACCTAGGTTTGGGAGAAGGGAGATGAAGAGCCAGCAAAGGGGATATGGGCAGAGGCACCCAGAAGTGTGCTTTTTACCAACAGTGAGGACAGGGAGGCTTTCACGGAGTGAGTGGCCACAAGATTCAAATGCTGCAGACATCAAATGAAATGAGAATGGAGAGGAGGCTCCTGGATGCAATGATGAGGAGGTCACCATCAACCTCTAATATAGCAGCTTAAGTGTCAGGAGGACTCTGAAGTCAAATAATCCTGGTTCAAAGCCTCTTCTTGGGCCTCAGTTTTCTTACCTGTCAAATAGGGATGACAACAGTGCCCCTTATAAAGTTATTCTGAGATTAAAATGAAATTGTGTATTTTAAAGCACCAAATATAGCTGACCCTCGAACAACATGGGGGTTAAAGGTGCTGACCCCCTGTGCAGTCAAAAGTCCATGTATAACTTTTGACTCCCCTAAGACTTAACTACTAATGGCCGAGTATTGACTGGAAACCTTACCAATAGCAAACAGCTGATTAACACATATTTGGTATGTTGTATGTATTATACCCTGTATTCTTATAATAAAGTAAGCAGAGAAAGGAAATGTTATTAAGAAAATCATGAGAATGAGAAAATATATTTACTATTCATTAAGAGGAAGTGGATCATCATAAGGGTTTTCATCTTTCTCATCTTCACATTGAATAGGCTGAGGGTAAAGGGGAAGAAGAGGGGTGAGTCTTGTTGTCTCATGGGTGGCAGAGTTGGAAGAGCTGGAGGTGGTGGAAAGGGAGATAGGAGAGTCAGGCACACTTGCTGTAACTTTTACTGAAAATAATCTGTATATAAGTGGACCTGTGTAGTTCAAACCTATGTTGTTCAAGGGTCAACTGTACAGAGCGTGGCTCACAGTAAGTGTGCAATAAATGTTATCTATTATTTTTATGATGGGAAGGGATGAAGAAATGAGCAAGTGAAGAAGAAGTGGAGGCTACATGTAGAGACACTATTCTTTCAAGAAGTCTGGGCATGAAGGGAAGGAGAAAGACTAGGGGAATACAAAGGGGAATGAGAATCTTTTCCAGAATGGAGAGACAAGGGCATGATTTGACTCTTACGAGGCAAGTCAGAAAGGGATGATGGATGAAGTGAGAACCTAGAAGCAGGGTAGGAACAAGAGCAAGGGTTGAGGGAGATTTGCCTTGTAAGCAGGGAGAATGCATCCTTCTCAGAAACTGGAGGGAAGGAAGGAGAAGGTGAAGATAAAGAGAAATTTTTGAACTGAAAGAGAAAAGGAACTCACTTCGAGGGCTTCACTCATCTTAATTAACTGGAGATGGGGCTGAATGTTGGGTTGGGGGTGTGGAAGTAGGTTGGGGCTTAAGGATCGTGGGGATGGGAAGAGAAGTGAATCCTAGCATGGAAGTGGGTCTCAGACCAAAGGAGGGGAGCTGGAGGGGAGGAAACATGCCCACCAAAAGCCTAGATGCAAGTGTTAAACAAGCACGTGTGCTCTAGTTGCTCTTATTTCTGTCTCTAAGTAGAGCTTTCTTTTCAGTGGTGGAACATTTGGATGATGAAGTCCCTAATGTACAATGTCATGAGAAGGGAGAAGAAAACATTAATTCTCACGGGGGTCACTAAATGCTTGTGTATAGGCTGGGGGACAGGGAGAGTGCAAGCTGAGTGATGCAGCTGCTGAGTCAATCAAGACCCTCAAACTGCTCTGTCTCCACGTATTTGCAAAACACTTCTGTCAGTAACATTTACTCTTACTCTGTAGTGACTCTTTGCTGGAAAATCATGGGTCCTGAAAATCTCCAGGTCATGCCATTAGGACTGGGGAGACAGGAGTGTAAGAGGATTGCAAAGAGAAGTTGGGAGGCTTTGGCGGAACTGTGCCCCCAAGAAGCAGATAGCTAAAAACACTGCAATTCCCTTCTTGAGGGGATAGAGCACCTACAGAAAAAGGCCGGGTTTTAGTTACCTTGAAGAAGATTGTGAGTAAAAGTTTGGGGAAGAAAGGAACTTCTTCCTATGTGACAAGGATTCCAAGAGTCAGATTTGAAAGGAGTAACAGAAGTAGAGAGTCAGCGAGGGGAGGTATTGGGGGCTAAGAACAGGGATGGGAACATGGGAAGAAGTAATAAACCAGCAGTTGTTAGTAAGAGGGAAGCAATGGCTTGGGAAGTAAGAGGGAAGAAAGAATGGTAGAGTGGTATATGATATGTGATAGAATGGTTAGAAGAAGACTAAGCAGATAAAATCTGGTTTGTGGTAAAGATCACAGAACAGGCAGACCTAGGATATGAGAATGGAGGTGCCCTGGAGTGGGAAGGTGGAGGACCAAGAGATGCCGCCACAGGGAAAGGCCAGGTCTGGTGGTGGCTTCTCAATATATGTCATGAAAACAAATATATTTTTCAAATTCATGTTAAAGTACACATCAAGAATTTAAAAAATCAGGCCAGGCACGGTGCCTCATGCCTGTAATCTTAGTACTTTGGGAGGCCAAGGTGAACTCCTGAGCTCAGGATTTCGAGACCAGCCTAGGCAACAACAGCGAAACCCCGTATCTACTAAAATACAAAAAATTAGCTGGGCGTGGCGGCATGTGCCTGTAGTCCCAGCTACTCAGGAGGCTGAGGCAGGAGAATTGCTTGAACCCAGGAGGCGGAGGTTGCAGTGAGCCGAGATTGCACCACTGCACTCCAGCCTGGGCAACAGAGCGAGACTCTGTCTCCAAAAAAAAAAAAGAATTTAAAAAATCAATATTAATAACATTACCAAAGTATTAATTTGTTCTTACTTAGAACTACCTTGTTTGCATTACTCAACCAAAATTGGACCTTTTCCTGGGTACCATCTTGGATATTTCCTCACTCATAAAAATGCTTTTTAAAGAGATCTTCCCAGCCAGGCACGGTGGCTCACGCCTGTAATCCCAACACTTTGGGAGGCCGAGGCGGGCGGATCAGGAGGTCAGGAGATCAAGACCACGGTGAAACCCCGTCTCTACTAAAAATACAAAAAATTAGCCGGGCACGGGGGCAGGCGCCTGTAGTCCCAGCTACTCAGGAGGCTGAGGCAGGAGAATGGTGTGAACCCGGGAGGCGGAACTTGCAGTGAGCCAAGATCGTGCCACTGCACTCCAGCCTGGGTGACAGAGCGAGACTCTGCCTCAAAAAAATAAAATAAAAAAAAAGAGATCTTCCCATTTGGCTGGTTCTTTAAAGGAAGAAAAAAAAAACAAAAACAGAGTCTAGGAAAATATCCAACAAAAGGTAAGAAATCTGAAAGTCTAAAGTGCCCTGGTTTCCATGCACGTGTTTCGACCTAACCTGAAATGATGGGTTTCTTCTCACAGGCTAGGGCGTGCCTTCTGGCACCCTGGTGTTCAGGTCAGCTTGTGAAGGACCTCATTTCCTGGATGTCACTAGGGAGGGTGCTCAACTATGGGGAGGCACCAACACAGTAACCAATGGGAAAATTGGCAAGGTAGTCAGTGACATTTTAAAGACATTTGCTCACTGACCACTGACCCACAAAGGACAGTTTCACTGTCAGTTTCTCAGCTACTGGTGTTTAATTCATAGAAATCAATGACGACAAGCCTAGAGAGGCCACCAGACAAGAGGCAATATATGACAAATCAGGAAGCCTTGTTTGTTTCCTTCTAACAGTGACTCTATTTGTTATATTCTTCCTGGTGGCATTTGGCATTTCTTAGCTATGGATTGGCAGAGCTGGCAACTCAGAACTTCTAAGAATTACTATCTGCTTGCCACAATCTTCGTATTCAAAGAAACATGTTTTATTTTCTTTTTTCTTCCTTTTTTTTTTTTTGAGACTGAGTCTCACTCTGTCACCCAGGCTGGAGTGCAGTGGCACGATCTCAGCTCACTGCAACCTCCACCTCCTGGGTTCAAGCGATTCTCCTGCCTCAGCCTCCCGAGTAGGTGGGACTACAGGAGCATGCCACCACGCTCAGCTAATTTTTTGTATTTTTAATAGAGACGGGTTTTCACTGTATTAGCCAGGATGGTCTTGATCTCCTGACCTCGTGATCCACCCACCTTGGGCTCCCAAAGTGCTGGGATTACAGGTGTGAGTCACCACGCCTGGCCGCATGTTTTATTTTCTAAATGTGCATTTTATGTGACTTTGCTGTAACCTGGAAAACCCCATAACTTTCAAACTACAGACAGTTCTAACTAGGATTACAAGGCAACCAATAGATACCTGGGGAGTTAATACTGTGAATTTATTTTGCTGTATAGTTAAAAATCAATCTATCACAACCATCCAATCATCCATCCATCCATCCATCCATCCATCCATCCATCCATCCAATCTCATCCTTTAAGCTGACTAGTTGGCCACTAACCAAATTTATAACAATTTTTTTTTAGTATTAAAATACAATTCAATGTGGAGTAAGGATGGGTTACTCTGGATGAAGAATTAAAGGAGAAAGATAAAAAAATGTAGCTCTTACCCATTTTGTAGAATACTTCTGTGGGCCAGTGTGGGCAGTTATTAAACCCAGATAACAGTGACAGATGATATTTAAACTCTCTGGCTCTTTGTCAACCATCTGCCCTATGACTCTCTTTACTGAGTTTATATTTCCTAGGTATTTCATTTTTGAACAAAAGACATGCACCTCTTAATAATATGACAGAGAATTGGCCAACCTTTCCAATACAGGACAGATTCTAAATCAAAGCTATTAAATACATGTGTGATTTGCTTCTTGACCACTCTAAAATATCATTGCTGCTACATCACAGTAATACACAAATCATTACAGAAAAAAATATGGCCTAGTAGGTCAAACAACAGCAATGGCAGAAACCCAGCAGAGTAGAAAAATCAAAGGCGATCGAGTCAGGCAGACATGGGGTCTTGGCTCTGTCATTTGATTGTTGTATGCCCATGGGCAAGTTATTCACCCTCCTTGTGGAAGGTCTAGTTCATTATCTGTAAGCTCTGGAAAGAAGTCTTCAGAATAGGGGTTTAAGCAGATAATGCACATGAAGGTGCCCCCAACCCCCAACTGCCAAGGCATGGGCCTGTCACATGACAAATGGTAACTCCCTTTGCTTCTTTTCTTCTCCCTAGGTTATGGAGGATGGTGAGCCTCGCTGACACATAAATGACTATTCCTCAAAGATTTTAAATAAACAACTAGGATGCGACCTCTAAAGAAGGTTAATCCCAACTGCTGGCCTTCCACTGAGAAATCTTCCCTCTCCAAAAACAGACTTGTCATTATACCCACTCACAGTACTCTACACTTCTTCACAGCATTTATCCCACCTCTGGTTAATTAACTAATTGTGCAGGCAATGGATTTTTTCTCTACTAGGATTTAAGTCACCCCTCTAGAAGTGGGCCTGGCATACAACAGTCACTCCATAAGTTAATTGTGGACTGAATGGAACACTTGTTATAGGGTTTCCAACATGTGACATATTACTGTTGGTGACATGTGAGATGATTTAGGGGATAAACATGCATGAACTTTCTGAATAGTTTTAGTGGTTATATATTTATTCTAATGTGTATCAGACAAATAAATAACCGGTCAAATCTCTGATTTTTATACACAGCCATGACCCTCATAATAACGTTTTGGTCAACAATGAATGAACCACATATGTGAGGGTGGTCCTAAAAGATTATAATGAAGCTGAATGATTCCTATCTCCTAGCCATCTTAACGTTATTGTAGTGCAGTGCATTACTCACTTCACATGTCTGTGGTGATGCTGGTGTAAACAAACCTATTGCGCTGCCAGTCATATTAAAGTATAGCACATATAATTATATACAGTACATAATATTTGCTAATACAAGACTCTGTTGCTGGTTTATGTATTTACTATATTATACTTTTATCATTATTTTAGAGTGTACTACTACTTATAAAAAGAAGTTAACTGTACAACAGTCTCAGCCAGGCCCTTCACGAGGTATCCTAGAAGAAGGCATTGTTATCACAGGGGATGACAGTTCCATGCATGTTATTGCCCCTGAAGCCCTCCTAGTGGGACAAGAAGTGGACAGGCAAGACAGTGATATTGACCATCCTGATTCTGTGTAGGTCTGGGCTAATCTGTGTGTTTCTTAGTTTTTAACAAAAAAGTTTAAAAAGTAAAAAAATAAAAAATTTAAAAATAAAAAAGCTTATAGAATGAGGATATAAAGAAAAGATTTTGTATAGATGTATAATGTTTTTGTGTTTATTTATTTATTTTTTTTAGACACAAGGTTATCTAGGCTAGGGTGTAGTGGCATGATCCTAGCTCACTGTCATCTTGAACTCCTGGGCTCCAGTGATCCTCCCACTTCAGCCTCCGGAGTAGCTAGTACTACAGATGTGTGCTACCATGTTCAGCTAATTTTTTATTTTTTGCAGAGATGGGGGTCTCACTATGTTGCCCTGGTTGGTCTTGAACTTCTAAACTCAAGTGATCCTCCTGCCCTGGTTTCCCAAAGTGTTGGGTTACAGTGAGCCACTGCATCTGGCTTGCTTGTGTTTTAAGATGTGTCATTACAAAAGAATCAAAAAGTTAAAAAATTTAAAAAGTTTTTTTTTTTTTTTGAGACAGGGCCTCCTTCTGTTGCCCAGGCTGGAGTGCAGTGGTGTGATCTTGGCTCACTGCAACCTCTGCCTCTCTTGGGCTCCAGTGATCCTCCCAACTCAGTCTTCCAAGTAACTGGAACTACAGGCACACACCACCATGTCTGGTTAATTTTTGTCTTTTTTGTAGAGACAGGGTTTCGCCATGTTACCCAGGCTGGTCTCGAACTCCAGAGCTCAAGCAATCCACCTGCTTCAGCCTCCCAAAGTGCTGGCATTACAGGCGTGAGCCACTGCACCCGGCCAAAAAATTTAAAAAGTTTATGAAGTAAAAATGTTACAGTAAGCCAAGGTTGTTATTATTGAAGAAAGAAAAATATTTTTAGATAAATTTAGTGTAGCCTAAGTGTACAGTGTTTATAAAGTCTACAGCAGTGTACAGTAACATCCTAGGCCTTCAATTCACTCACCACTCACTCACTGACTCACCCAGAGCAACTTCCAGTCCTGCAAGCCTTATTCATGATAAGCATTCTATATAGGTAAATCATTTTTTATTTTTTATACCATATTTCTACTGTATCTTTTCTATGTTTAGATACACAAATACTTACCATTGTGTTACAATTGCCTATGGTAGTCAGTATGATAATATGTCATACAGATTGGCAGCCTAAGAGCAATAAGCTATACCATATAACCTAGGTGTGTAGTAGGCTACACCATCTAGATTTATGTAAGTACATTCGACAATGTTCGCAAAATGACAAAACTGTCTAACAATGCATTTCTCAGAACATAACCCTGTCGTTAAGCAACACATGACTGTACTTTTGTTTAGGATGAGGCTAAATAAAAAAGTAAACTGACAGAGAGTAGTAAAAAAAACCTACGTAAATAATAGTACCAGTCTCATAAGAATATGGCAAAAACAATGAAGGTGATAAAGAAAGGACAAAATTTGGTAACTACTGCCTTAGCATCAAGTGGGTACCCAGAGTTTAGAAGTTCAAGACAACCAGGGCAGCACAGTGAGACCCCCATCTCTACAAAAAATAAAAGATGCTAGGATTCCCTGATTTAGGATTAGCCTAAAGCAATGAATGAGTCTGCTTTAAGAGCCTATGGCTTGTGAAGTCTCAACTGGGTCAATACTGAATCAGGAGTCAAGTCAGAACCAGGTCAAGCTGGTGATGGACCCCAGAACTCATCTGGCATAAGTAAGAAGCATGACACATGGATATCTGGGGGGTATCATAGGAAATACCAAGGACACAGGGTAGCCACCCTAGGAGGGATGGTATGATTGGCCTTGATTCACTCTCCTTTCAGCCTTAAAGGCATATGAACCTGGTTTCTGATACTGCTTCCTCCTTCAAGCAATTATTTCTCAAATTACTATTTTTGTGCAAGGCTTCTGGAGAAAGGGTACTTTCTTATGTGCACATTTGAAGTGCCAAAGGATCTCTACCCAATGTCTCACTTTTCCAGCAAACTGAAGCAGACTGCTGCCACTATCATCAAAGGAACCCTCCCCTGAGCCTCCAATATTTGAGTCCTACTTCTCAGTCCCAATGCTGAGATGGAGAGATAAGTATTCCTCTAGTCTTGGATTGGAACATAGAATGAATTTTCCCACAGAAGAAAAAATTTTGATGAATTAGCACAATGGGTGTTTTGTATATGTTCCAGGTCGTAGAGGATTCTGCAAGCTAGGCTTGGAATCCAGTGACCACTTATCACTTCAGTGGAAAATGCTTTTAACATTTTAAAATAAAATTTGTTCCACAAATGGAGATTGCCTATACAGCAAATTCCTTAGTAGTGAATACTTAATTCTACATATATAAAATTTTATCTTTCTTTTAACATCTTAAAAAAATTGACTTTTAGCATCAATCATGACTAGTATTCAAGTCTGTAATTGTTGAAGGACTCTGTCTTTACAGTTGAGACTATTCTAGACACATAAAGATAATTCCAATAAGCATTTCTGTAATCAACTCTTGGCTGTACCGAGTTATTCCTGCGATGAAGTAGAATGACTGTCTTAACTCCTACTCTGCTCTATTGACAGTAAATTATTCTTGGTTCTAACCATAAGCCTTTAACCCAATGTCTTCTACACTTGTTGGATGAAAAGAATCGCTGAAGGTACTTTTAAAAATAAGAATTCCTGGCCCCAGCCCAGTAATGAATCAGAATCTCAAGGGAGAGGCCTGGGAGCCAGACTTTTAAAGACTGCCCATCCCTGGTCATACTGTCATCCAACCCAGGGGTTCTTATCCTGGAGGCTGTATTAGGATCGGAGGACTTGTTGAAACACAGGTTGCTGGCTCCCAGCCCAAGAACTTCTGAACCAATAGGTCTGGGGTGGGGCCTGAGAATTTGCATTTCCAGCAAGGTGCCTGGTGATGCTGAGGTTCCTGGTTCAGGGACCATACTTTCAAAATCACTAATTTAGCCTGTTTGGCAAACACTGCAGCTGATTTCAGTATTACTTTTTCTCCCCGCTCCTTGGGAAAAAAGCAACACCAGAATAGAACTTGCAAGCTTCCTTTGGACTCATACCCCTGCTACTTCTTAGCTGCCTAATGTTAGACAAATAAATGTACCACTCCATCTCAGTTTGTTCTTATTGGTAGGACTAAGAAAGGTAGCATAAAAGAAGAGGTTTGACACTATACTTGGCACATGGTATGGCTGCATTAAACATCTGTTTACTCTGATCTCCTTGTGATGATCTCCTATCCTATGAGCCACAGATGAATTTGCTGAGTACTAGCAACAGTTCCAAAAATTTGTTACATGCACAAAACTTTGTTTGGTTAAAACCAACCAAACAACAAGCAAGCAATGGCTGACCACTTCTTTTCCTTGTGAGCTACCATGGAGCTACATTTTAAAGATACAATGGGAATATACTGTTTCCTAACTTACCTTTTCCCATGGAAATAAAAATAGAAAAGAAAAAAAAGATTAGATTATGATTAGGTTCTCTGTTTAATTTAGACTAGGCTGAACTTAGTACCCAGATATGGATTATTTTCCTGGCAGATCTTTATTATATTATTTGGCTATTTCTTGTGACCTGAAAATCAAACAAACGAATCACATGCTCTCTTAGAGGGAACTTAGAGGGCATCTAGCCTACGCACCAACCCTATAAATGCTACTGAAACATCACCAATGTGTGGAGGTCCAGCCTCTTCTTAGACACACAATGAAAACTCACTATTCTCACAAACCCCAATCCACTCTTCAGATAACTGTCTAATCATTAGATTTCTACCCCTTTTAACAAAAATCTTTCTTTTTGTAATTTCTGTATCCTTGGTCTTGTTTCTGTCCTCTATAGTACCTGAATATATCTAATCTCTCCTGTACACGGCAGCATTTAAAGTGCTCTGAAGTAGCACTGACATCCCCACTGCCTATTCTTTTTCAGCCTAAATATTGTTTTTTTCAACTATTCTCACTATCAAAATTCCATCAAAAAAGTTTTCATACACTTAACAGCCTTGGTTCTCCTCCTATGGATAAAGTCCACTTTGAGATATTTCTTCACTAAAAAAATGCGAAAATATGTGTTATTTTCACCATGTCCTATCATCACCAGTAAAACAATGTAACTTATAAGAACAGTGGGGTATTCCTTCCCAGGCAGAGTTTCCAGAAGCTGCAAGCTACAGTCATATAAAACAACACTGTAAGCACTGAGAAGGCGGTTTCAGGACAGGCTTGCAAGTGGTAGCCTGGGGTAGATGGATCTGGCCATCATGACCCCTAATGATAGAAATGCCATGCTGCCACTCAAATTCACAAAGATCCACAGTCTCTTTTCAAGGAAAGCAGAGTGAAACAAAATGTATTTCTTACTTTCTACGAAACATTTCTGCAAATATGCAGCCAACACTCCAGAGATCCACGGGGGTGGCGTAGCTGGACTGGAGCAAGACTTCGGGTGCTCTGTACCACAGCGTGACGACCTGCAATGGCAAGCGGATCCAAGTGTTACTGAGAAGGTGGCTGTTGGCTTAGACTCCTGACTAAACCTGGTGGTTTAATGACAAGATGTAGTTCAGAAAGAACTCCTATAAATCATATAAGGACACTGCGCTAGAAGCAATAGGTAAATAGGACTCATCACTGACAGGCCAGGAAATTACATCATCCCCACAAACTGGGTTCCCACCTCCAACTCTATGTCTAACTAGGATGGCATAATAACATGAGTTTCAGAAAGCAAAGACCAAAAAAATTTTTTTTAAACTTAGAAACCGTTTTTTTTCTCCCCCCCTTTAAGGGCCTTTAAAAAATAATACATGGAAAACAGGTGATGGCAACAATTACAGCTCAATCCCCAGGCCAGCATTATTGGCAGATTAGAAGATGATGGCATACAGAGTGGTGTAATGGACTTTGGAGACTCAGAAAGGGGGAGGGTAGAGAAAGGGGTGAAGGAGAAAAAACTACATACTGGGTAAAATGTACACTACCTGGGTGATGGGGGCACTAAAATCTCAGACTTCATCACTATACAATTCATCCATGTAACCCAAAACCACTTGTACCCCAAAAGCTGTACATATATATATATATATATATATATATACACATACACACACACACACACAGACACATACACACACACACACACACACACACACACACACACACACACACACACACACACATATATGAAGATGGTGCCAGGGCTGCTGGATGGTGTCCCTGAAGTCTACACAACACCCAGGACATGTCAAAACTGCTCTTACCGTGACAGCTTGGGGAATCAAAGTAAAACCCCTCTCCATGATGCTCTTTTCAGAAAACAAGTAAAAAGTGGGGAAGAACTTAAGAGAGAATGTGTAACCCAATTGTTCATATGATGTGTGAAAAAGCCAAGCAGAGGAAGGGATTCCAAAAAGACAAGAAACTCATTTAATACAGAGCAGCGTATAGTAATAGATGAAACAAACACAACAATTTTTCCTGCCAGGTTGAGGGCTGAAGAAAGCATATCATGTTAAGGCTGCAGATTTGAGTACATAGGGGGGGTTCAAGTGATTCCTTTTGTGGGGGAAGGGGCAGATAGTCTATGGATACCCTGGGAGGTGCATTCTTTATTGTCAGATAAGGAATTCAGAATATAAATCTATTACGTCAGAATTTTATATTATTCAGATCCCTTTTATCCTTATTGTTTTGTCTAGTTGTATTATTATGGATGTCTATCTAAATTTTCTAAAATTCTGCTTTATATATTTTGATGCTATATTACTTGGTGTGCTAAGATTGCAGTAGCAAGTCTCAATAAATGGCGGCTGCCATCAATTTCCTTCTCTCCTTATTTGCACACACTGTTGCTCGTATCAAGGGATGGATTTTATTCATCTTCCATTGAATCTGAGTTGGCCTTAGTGACTTACTTGACCTACAGAATATGGTAGACGTAATGTCTGAGACTACCAATGTTAGGTCATAAGAAGCCTGAGCCTAGGCCTTTTCTCTTGAGATGCTACCTCTTGGAACCCAGCTGTCATGCTGTGAGAAGCCCATGAAGATGCCCTGGTTGACAGCCCCAGTTGAGCTCTCAGCTGAAAGCCTGCGAATGAGCCATCTTGGACATTCAAGCCAACTGACCTCCCATATAACTGCAGTCCCAGACAATGTCACACAGAGCAGAACTGCCAGCTGAGTCCGGTCAACTGACAAGATTATGAGTGATAATAAAATGACCGTTTTAAGTCTTTAGATGATTATATGGCAACATCAAATTGGAAAAAGATTCTTGACAGGTTCCCCCTCTATATCTCATCTAACATATTTTGCTTTGAATTCACACATGGGTCAAGTTTTGTTTAAGTAATACTGGTTGATATCTAATGGAGGGATGGTTGTGATATAATAGAAATAAAAAACAAAACACAAAACTGACAATACTGAAACAATGTTACTCAAGTTACCATTTGGCCCCAACATATCTTTCTATCAATGCATCACCTCCCAGAGTATTTTCCATCAATGCATCACCTCCCATAGAACTTCCATAGCCTTTATATCCTAGTCACATCTATACTGCACCACTGGTTTTTAACCCTGCCTGTTCATCAAAATCCCCATGGGGTTTTAGAAAAACTTAGGTGTATAGGTCTTATCTTGTGCCACTGAATTAGACTTTCTGTGGGCTGAACTTTTTGGGTTGGAGTTTTCCTCTTTTGTTCCTTCCTTTTTTTTTTTCTTTTTGAGATGGAGTCTTGCTCTGTTGCCCAGGCTGGAGTGCAGTGGCATGATCTCAGCTCACTGCAACCTCCGCCTCCCGGGTTCAAGCAATTCTCCTGCCTCAGCCTCCTGAGTAGCTGGGACTACAGGCGCACGCCACCACACCCGGCTAATTTTTTTTGTATTTTAGTAGAGACGGGGTTTCACCATGTTGCTCAGGCTGGTCTCGAACTCCTGAGCTCAGGCAATCTGCCTGCCTCAGCCTCCCAAAGTGATAAGATTACAGGCATGAGCCACTGCGCCTCCCCCTTTCTTCTTTTTTTTTTTTTTTGAGTTCTTCAACTAATCCTCACCCTTGGCTATGTTTGAACACCACTAGATTATGCAAGCATATCCCATCGCTCTTGTCTCCATGCTTTTGTTTATATCATTTTCCTAGCCTGGGCAACTCTTCTTTCTCCTCTCCACATATGTAAATTTCACCTATTCTACAAGGCCTAGCCTAGATGCCAGCACCACCCTGTTGCAGCACCAGCTGCTATCTGAAAATCATACCTTGTAACATAGCTCATAATATGGTTTGTTCCTGAGGACATGGCCCTGCCTTAATCTATGTTTATATCTGTAAATGCCTATCACAGTACTGTAAACACAACAATAAGGGCTTATACACCTATCAAATTAATCCTTTTAAGGCAATCATTCCTAGAAAGATAACTGGGCAAAATTCAATGACCAGTCATTTCCAAAAGGGAAGGTATTGTTTTTGCTAAGAAGAGTGTCCAATACTGGGGTCTAGTTTTAGTTACATTACTTGTTTCTGCTTTATTAATATTTCTAGCTGGAGGAACACTTCTTTGCTTCCCTGACACACTGTAAACAAAACTGCAGGTGCAAACTGTCTGTAAGGTTCCACTTGAGTGGTTGACAGAAATACACAGATATCATGAAGGCACACACTTATCTTTCTACCTCAATTCAAAATAAAGTCTAGCAACATAAAAAGAAAAGTTTAATCTGAATACAGCCTTATTTTAAGCTGTTCTAAGGAAAATATTATTTCTTTCTTTTTTCTTTTTAGACAGGGTCTTGCTCTGTTGCCCAGACTGGAATGCAATGGTGCGATCTTGGCTCACTGCAATGTCCACCTTCCAGGCTGAAGCGAGTCTCGTGTCTCAGCCTCCCAGGTAGCTGGGACTACAGGCACACGCCACCACACCTGGCTAATATTTTTGTATTTTTTGTAGAGATAGGGTTTCACCATGTTGGCCAGGCTGGTCATGAACTCCTGGCCTCAGGTGATCTGCCCACCTCAGCCTCCCAAAATGCTGGGATTACAGGTGTGAGCCACTGTGCTCAGCAAGAAACTGGTTTCTGATTGATTACCCATCCTAAAAAACTTTAGTAAGGCTGACTGTCTTCATTTTCAATACTTCAGTCAGTTATACCTATTATGATAAATAAATGTATAGACAGTCAAAATCATAATAACAATATTGATATGTTAGGGAAATTCCCTCTATTCCTTTTAAAATTTAGTTACCACTCAAAATGTAGAATGAATTTTTATCAAATGCTTTTTAAAATGTCTATTAATAATGACCATATAATCATTTGCCTTTGTTTTATTAATGACGTATTAGTTACATTAACAGATTTCCCAATATTGTAGCATCCTTGCCTTCTTGGAATAAATCATTTCTGATTGTGTATTATTCTTTTAAGACACTCTGAAATTCTATTTGCTAGTATCTATTCAGGATATTGACTTATATTCATAAATGAGGCTGATCTGTAGTTTTCTTTTTTGTGTTAATTTTTCATGTTTTGTTATCAGGGATATTCAAGCTTCCAATCTTTATTATATTCTGGAATAGTACAAACAACAGAAGAATAATCAGTTTCTTGAGGGTCAAACAATCTCGCTCATAGAGCTGTCTGGATCTTTGTTAGCAGTGTGTCTTAACGGTCTTTTGAATTTCTTCTTGGTAATTAGTCTGCTCAGCTTTCAACCTCTTTAGAAGCCAATTTTCGTAATGATAAAGGATTTTCCTACGAACATTCTTAATCTAGATTTAAAAATGTATTGACTTAAATTTGAACATAGTATTTCTTATAATCATTTTAATTTCATCTGTTTCCTTGGTTATACTGATTTTCTTTTTCTTAATGTTGTAAATTTTTGTTTTCTCTTTATATCTGTCAGGTTTGTCAGAAGTTTAGCCATATTATTTATATAAAAAAACTGACATAATTTTATTTCCATTTTGGGAGGATTATTGTTTTATTTTATAATTTGTTGATTTCTATTTTTATCTTTTAAAATTTTCTCCTAATTTCTTTGTTGTTGTTGAGTTTTTTTTTGAGTTAAAATTTAGCTCATTTCTTTTCCATTTTAATTAATAATAAAATGCTAACTACATATTTGTAGATAAACTTTTCTCATTTTTGCTCATCTTTAAATACTATGTAATTTATCTTTAATTTAGAAAAGTGTTTTAAGATGTCCATATGGTCAGGTTATTTATGGCTATCTTTGAATGGTTGAATTTCTACTTTTATTGAATTACAACAGAGACTATGATCTGTACAATTTCTACTTGGTAGGATTTATTGTTGTTTTCTTTAAAATGATGTATATACTTGGTTTTTGTTCTGGGAGTGTAATGGAAGTACTGTCTTTGTAAAGTTCTTTATTGATAAGGGTTTGTCTTATATAAATCCTTACTTATATTTTTCTATACTTCATTTGTCAAACTCTAAAAGAGAGTTGAGTTTCTGTTTTCCTTCCCCCAGTATCTCAAATGCAAACATAGATAATGGTTTATAAGGAATATAAATATAATCTTTGAAATACTTCAGAATCTTTATTTTGTCAAAGTGAAGGTTTTCTAAACTGTGCTCTAATCTGTTTATTTGCATCAGAGCAATACAAAACTTTCTAATACATATGTTTTTCTCCCTAAAGAAAACTAGTATGGTTTTGTGAAGTGAAAATCAAAACTAGTGATAATTTCACTGACTTTTCACAGAGTTGCAAAATTTACAACTCTGGTGGGCGCTTGTAGTCCCAGCTACTGGGGAGCCTGAGGCAGGAGAATGGCGTGAACCCGGGAGGCGGAGCTTGCAGTGAGCTGAGATCGCGCCACTGCACTCCAGCCTGGGCGACAGAGAGACTCCGTCTCAAAAAAAAAAAAAAAAGAAAGAAAAGCGTTTCCATTACTTTCCAGTTCTCTATATGATATGACATCTACTCATCACTTCACATTTAATAAGTTCAATGAAAGCTAAAATTTAGATATCTCGTTTTTATCCTTAAGATTTTGCTCTAGTCTGTGTAAATCATTGTAACCAAGTGAGAGTGAAATTAGACTAACTTTATGCTTACACTCTATTTTAAACTATCAACATCTGTCTAAAGAGACATCATTTTTGGTTCAATCTTTGAGGAATTCAATTCCAAAAGAAAGTATAAATTGTTCAAGACTTACATTTCTAGTTAATTCTCTAATAAAATAACCCCATCAATGACCTGGGCCTACATTTAAAAATAACAAACTACTGGGCCAGGCGTGGTGGCTCATGCCTGTAATCCCAGCACTTTGGGAGGCTGAAGCAGGCGGATCACTTGAGGTCAGGAGTTCAAGACCAGCTTGGGCAGCATGGCGAAACCCTGTCTCTACTAAAAATAAAAAAAATTAGCCAGGTGTGGTGGCACACGCCTGTAATCCCTGCTAATAGGGAGGCTGAGGCAGGAGAATTGCTTGAACCTGGGAGGTGGAGGTTGCAGTGAGATTGTATCCCTTTAGTCTGGGTGAAAAGCAAGACTGTCTCAAAAAAAAGGAAAACAAACTACTATATTTTGCAATAGATATAAAAGAATAGCATTTTCTAATAGTTGTTTCCTGGTTTATGTAATATTATTCTATATATCAAGAGAGCATCCCCAGTTTTAATTTGTTAATTTACTTGGCTGTTCTATAATTTCTGAACCACAGTCTTTCAGTCCCTACATTAAGTCACTGAAATTTTAATTATCTCAAATTATGACAACTTCTGTAATTTCATAGGATTTAAAATATCTACTGCAACTAAATCTGGATCCAAGTTTTTGAGAACAAATTGCAACAAATTTTCCTGACAGTAAAATATAAATTCCCTTTGCTTAGACATTATTATACTTCTGTGCCTCTAAAAACTTCTGATGGAAGACTGCTGAACTTAAAACCAGTTTAAGTCATGCATGAGCAGAAGCTTATTTTTATTTGAAAGCTTTATAAAGAATGAATAATATCAATAAAATTGTTTCAAGGTTTTAGCTCGTGAAAGTTCTCAACAATATAATCAATTCTACCAGAAGTTCTGTTTAATAATTCTAAATATCCTTAAAAAGAAAATATAATGGTAAATTTAAATTTTAAAACATGTTGAGGAAAACAATGAGTGCAATATATAAAGATCAACATTTAGAAATCCGTAACAAAAGTCGCTACTAATGGTAACAATGCAGTTGTCTAGTAAGCAAAGACAATAGGAATTATGGACAGAGTTTGGTGATTGGAGCCAGCTGGAACCAAAGCAAATACCATGTTTATTACAATCATTACATGTATTAACAGCCTCTAGAGGTGCTGAATGGATGTGGCAACAGGAGGGGGAGCGGAAGGCAGGGGGGAGTTCAAGGATATTTACACAAGTGGATGTATCTGTTTAAACTGCTTTGATCTCTATTCACATTTTTTTGAACCTGTTCAATAATAGTATAAGAAAAAGTACAGCCAAGGCCAACTCTGACTTAAAATACATTTCAGAGTAAACCGCTCTCACTTGATGTTATATTTAACAATCTTTTATCATGTACCCTTTCACCAAGGTCTTGAAAAAATTAGATGTTATCTGATTCATCCTCATTATATGGCCACAATGGCAGAAAAGCATGGTATGAACACTGTGCTGGATGTCTTCTTTTTGTTGCCCCAGATAGTCTCTGCCCTAGAAATGGACCTGTATCTGCCATATGCCTCCAGTTTCTTACTGGCTTTGGCCAATGGGAAGTCTCGGCAGGAATTCAGAGAGAAGGAGAAGCATGAGGTCAGGATCCTCAACTCTTTGATTTTCCTCCCAGCAAAGCTGTCTAGAACTGACTGTGTTGCCACCACAAAGTCAATGTCCATCTCAGGAAGCCTGCTCTACTTGCTTTCTTCCTCCTGGATTCCAGTAACTGCTTCCCCTCTTCTTCTAGGGCCTGGGAATGGTAATGAACTGACTGCGAGTAAGACTCAGGTCATAGCACCATCCCCTGAGTTCCCCTAAGCCCACATCTCTGCAAATCATGCCTGTGTCAAGAAATCCTTGAACTACTTGAGTTTGAGTGTGCCATCTATTTCCTGTTGGGACCCTGGCTGATACATCCTGTTTATAGATGGAGAAACCAGCGTGGGTGGCAACTTCTTCTCCAAGTTTCAGTTTTCTCATCTGTTAAAGAAGATGTTTGGACTGGGTAATCTATAAGGTGTCCTCTGTTAACATTTTAAGACTCCCTAAATGATATGGCAATGGCAATGAAGATTTAAAAAAACATATATACTTTATGGACCCAACAACGTTATCGTTAAATATCTTTGCTGTCCTTTGGTTTAGTAATTACTTATGGAGTGTTCCAGTGTGGTGATATTCTCCTTCTCGGGCCCACTTCAACAACATGTCTCAAATACAAACATAGATAATGGTTTATCAGGAATATAAATATAATCTTTGAAATACTTCAGAATCTTTATTTTGTCAAAGTGAAGGTTTTCTAAACTGTGCTCTAATCTGTTTATTTGCATCAGAGCAATATAAAACTTTCTAATACATATGTTTTTCTCCCTATAGAAAACTAGTATGGTTGTGTGAAGTGAAAATCAAAACTAGTGATAATTTCACTGACTTTTCACAGAGGTGCAAAATTTACTTCTTTTTTTTTTCGAGACAGAGTGTCACTCTATAGCCCAAGCTGGAGTGCAGTGGTGTGATCTCGGCTCACTGCAACCTCGGTCTCCCGGGTTCAAGTGATTCTCCTGCCTCAGCTTCCCCAGTAGTTGGGATTACAGGCGTGCACCACCATGCCCGGCTAATTTTTTGTATTTTTAGAGACAGAGTTTCGCCATGTTGCCCAGACTGGTCTCGAACTCCTGACCTCAAGTGATCCGCCCTCCTTGGCCTCCTAAAGTGCTGGGATTACAGGTGTGAGCCATCGTGCCCGGCCATAATTTAGTTCTTCAAAATTACATATTTAAATGAAGAATATTATAAAGAATTGGAATTCTAATTCTGCCAAGCACAGTCTTCTCATTATAACACCTTAACTGGTTATGGAAACTATTAAGAATTAAATACTGGCCAGGTGTGGTGGCTCACACCTGTAATCCCAGCACTTTGGGAGGCTGAGGAGGGCGGATGACCTGAGGTTGGGAGTTCGAGACCAGCCTGACCAACATGGTGAAACCCCGTCTCTACTAAAAATACAAAATTAGTCGGGCATGGTGGTGCATGCCTGTAATCCCAGCTATTCAGGAGGCTGAGGCAGGAGAATCGCTGGAACTCAGGAGGTGGAGGTTGCGGTGAGCCGAGATCACACCATTGCGCTCCAGCCTGGGCCAACAAGAGTGAAATTCCATCTCAGAAAAAAAAAAAAAAAAAAAAAAAAAAAGCATTAAATACCCATAAAATAATAATGGAGTCATCTCAAATTCACCCATTTGTAATCTAAGGGCTAGAAGGAGATGTTTTGACATATGGCAAAAAAATGTCTGAGGTCAATACAAAGATGAGAGTCTCACAGCAGGGAGCGCTGTGCCAATAACTTTGTCCTCACCTCTGCTCTGATGCATCCATTACCAGCAGAAGGGCTGTATTTCCTCACATCTACAGCTGCCTTGGCTCACATGGGGCCACTGGCTCCCTTTAGATATGTGGATGTCCCATCACCTGCTATTGCTGGTGTGGTTCTCTGATTCTCTCTCTGGGATTCTCTTTCTCTGAGTCTCTGCAGGTCCAGATCCTACCCATCTTTCAAGCCTCACTCACATATTGCTTCATCCACAAAGCCTTTCCTGATCTCCCAGCTGGAAGTAATGGCTCTTCTCTGAGCTTCCACTGCACTTCTATAGTACTTGACCCTTTCTATCTTGCATTATAGCTTTTCCATTTCTTGGCCACAATACATTTACAGTGTCATGCATGGAAGGTGCTCAGTAATTATCTGATAGCTAGATACATCAATAACCACAGGAAACTCCCAGTGGCAGTGCTGAAGATGGATAGAGGCAATCACCTAGACTGGAGAATATGAGGACAATACTGTCCCATAATAACTTAATATCTTTGAGTAATCATGTATCTTTAACAGAGGAAATGATCCTGTGGAGGGAAGAGCACTACCTGATTAGCTTCAGAGATTGTGTAAGAAGACTCACAGGGCAATGAAAGGCACAGGGAAAATGAGCTGAATGGGTGTTCCCTCCAAGTAGAGAGGAAAGGCATCTTGGGGGAAGAGAGCCACTCAGTAAACAGGGGGGCTGTGTACTCGTGTCAGGGGAGGGATGAAAATGACTCACTGAAGGACCAGCAAAGGTAGAATTCAGGGATCCAGGTTTCTGACCTTTTGTGATATCAGTGGCACTTGCCATTTCTTACTGAGTCGTACACCTCTCCCCCATTTTATCTATGTCTAAGCAGATCTACCTACAAAAGGCCTAGACAGCAAGCCTTTAGGTCAAAGTAAGCTTCCAGTCAATTCATCATGTGAATGTCTACTCTGTGAGGTACCATGTTAGTCCTGGACAGTGTGGTCGCAAATTAGGAAAGCAATGAGTTAAATGAGTTGGCTGAAGTACAACTGGGTTGGAGGGAGGGGTGGTGTCTGTGTAGCAATTTAAGTGCAGAATGCTACGGTCCTGTCCTAGTGTTCCTCCTGCCTTTGTCTCTTTTAAATTATTGCTTAATCTAAGGCGACATCCTCAGGCAGTCACTTTTCTTACATGAAGCACAATCCTTGTGGAGCACTCCATGTGCCTGTCCCCACCCCCGCTCCAATCCATGCTGTATTCAGAACTCTGCAGTCTCTGACCCACAAATCCAACTGTCTCCCGGACATCACTACTTAGTGCTGCTACCAGTATCTCAAATTCAAAATGCATGCATTGTCATTCCTCTGAAACTTGCTTTTCCTATATTTCTTCTCTCTGTAAGCAAAATCGCTACCTACCCAGTTTCCCTACTTCTCTTGACTTTCAATGAAGCCACCATCAGATCCCGACAATTCCATCGAGAGCATGTCCTCTCCTGGATGGTCCAAATAGCTTCCTCTGTGGTCTTTTCCTGCCAACATGCCCCCTGCCACTCTGTCTTCTTTACTGCATCTGAAGCTGTGCTCACCACTCTCCTGCTTAAAATCCTTCATCCATTCTCTGGAGATTTCAGGGTCAAGCTCAACTCTAATTTACCTCCAATGCTCTCATAATCTGGTTCCCACCCACTCTCTGCCTTCATTGTCTGTTCCCCCTTCAGATGAAGGCTTTCTTTAACTTGTCAGAGACCGTGAGGTTCTTTAAACATGTGTGCTATGTCGTGCCTCATGTGGTCTTCCCATAGGCCCTTCTCTGGAATGCCCTCTTCACAACCCCATTCTTAATTCCTGTGAACCTTGCCCTGCCTAGTCCTCCGCAAGCATAAATGATTGCAGCACTTACATTGCATCTCAATCATTGTATCCTTACGGTCTACTAGGCCCAAAGCCAGCCCTTTGAGGGTAGAGAGTATTTCTAAGTGGACTTTTAATCCCAGTCCCTCGCAGAGTGTTGTATAAAGCAAGCATAAAATAAACATATGTTCCAACAAATGTATGGGTAGCCAGAAGACAGCAGAATGGAGAGTTACAGGATAAGGAGGGATAACACAGGGCAGGACAGAGTGTTTCTATTATAGTATAAATTTTATAGGCCATAGTTGTGTCCCCATGTCCACACCAGGCATTCTGAGAGTCCACCAACATGATCTTTAGTCAACAGATGACTTTTTAATAAAGTGCAAGGACCATTTTATTTTTGTAAAATGAAGTTTTAAAATGCCTGAAGGGCCTATGTTTTCCTTCAGGCTGCACTGTTTAAATTTCCTCTTGAACTCGTGAAACTTAAAATAGTTACCACTTATTAAACGTCTATTATGTTTAAAGTAACAAACTCATTCTCTTTGTAGAAGTACAGTATAGTATAGTTTTGATTTTGACACTAAACAATCATACATTTGATCTCCCTCTGCTTTCACCATAGAAACCAAGCAAATATTTGCAGACATTCCTTCAACCTTCACAGATAAGTAGAAATGAAAATTATTCTGAACACAGGATATGGCAGGCTGCAGGGCTCATTGTTTCCTCTTAGAAGTTGTTTTAACTCTTAAGGAAATCTATTTGCTTTGAGAGGCCACATTATTACTCAGATTTGTAAAAGAATTTAAAAATTGGGTTTTTCCTTGCTATGGAAACAGTCAAATGCCTCTAAGGTCCGTGCCTTCTTTCTCATTGGTTACTATGCTCCTTTTGACACAGGTTGCAAGCAAACCTACTAAATGAGTACTAGCAGGTTATATGGTTAGTGCAAGTGATGAGGGAAATGGAAGCATAGTTTTAAAATCCAAGTTCAGGCACACACATTCTTCAACATTTTAAAATTCCATGAGCACTGCCTTCCTTAAATGGGGAGGATTTGCAGATTGTCAGGTGGAAGCAGTCATGAAGGTATAGCTCATTCAGCTCATTCTGCAGTACGCTCTCCTCCTCAAACACTCCCATCTGAAATGGGTCATCGAGATGCATGCAGGAAAATAAAACCAGCCACAACATTTCCCAGTAATCCAGGCTACCAGAAATGAATTTATAGTCTACAGAGGACTGTGGTGGGGGGGGGGTCCCCACTATATTTTGTGCTTTAAGCTATTAAAGGAAAGACATAAAGAAAATATGCTTCTGAAGATTAGGGTGTTTCATGCTGTTCATTTAGCAAGATTAAAACTGCAAACAGAAAAGGAGGACACATCTGAGAGAAGGACTTAGATTGCAGCATTAGGAATTTGTGTTAGACAGAAGGAAGTATTTTCTGACAATAAGAACTGTTAAATACCAGAATGGATTACTGTGGGGCCTTGTAATGTTTTCTCTTCTCTAAAACTTTTCATTTTTATTTTGAGTGTAAATAAGTAGGGGGCTACGGAAGGAGAGAAAGGAAACATTTGTAAAGCACAGAAGATGTAATGTACTGCGCTGAATTAACTTTATCTGTTGTCTTATATAATCTTCAGTTTAATGGTGTGAGGCGAGTATCAACGACTCTATTTTTACAGATAAGGAAGCTGAGAATCACAGAAGAGCCAATGGCAGAACCAGGATCTGAAGCAGGTCTTATTGAACTCAGGTTCATTCTCCTCACTGTGGAGTCTAAATGACCTCAGGTCTTTTCTTTTTTGGTCTTAAGCCTAATTACAATAAAAAAGTTTGTATTTCCAGAATAGTCAACATTTCCATAGTAATGCAGTTTACCAGAAAAGCTGACAAAAACAAAAGAAGTTGTTTTTCTAAGATAATGGGACCCCAAGGGATTTCACCAAGATAGCTGCCAGTTGAGGGATCAGGGTCATGGATGTGCAAATGACTGGGTCCTGGATGGAGGGTAGGGAAGGTTTGCCTACCCACAATGTTCTGCACAGGAGCCAGAAGTCGGGCACTGTGTGCACAGGCATGTCTATGCTGTTCCCTAGATCCCTTCCCTGAAGACCAGGCATCACCCTTCCTCCCTAACATTTTCTCCTTTTGTATTCTATCTCTGCAAATGAGACCACCATCTCACCAGCTGCCCATGTCAGGCTCTTCCTCAAAATCACCCCTCACCCATTTATGCAGATGTAGTGTAAAAAGGGTGCCTTCTTGTTTACAAAAAAACAAAATGCACAGAAGACTAGAGCTGTGGAAATAGGAGAGAAGGAAAATACACAATTTAGGGAACCTAAATACTATGACCCACCATTTTCTAACACAGTCACTAAGCAACATTAAAAAAAATCATATTACTTGACATAAGAATTCTTTGGTTTTGAACACAGTGCAATTGTATGGACTCGACGACATTATCTAGATTTTACCATCTGATTTCAAAGTTGCTAAAAAAAAAGGTCTAATATGTAATATGTGTCCTAGCCCTTTATTTAATTTCCTCTTTCTTTTATAACACAGTTTTGCTGTACTTACTGAATTTTAAATGTCCTCAAAATCTAAAATTCATTTCATATCTCTTCTATGAGCAGAGATGAAAGAAAGGATCATTGAAAGGGAATATAGTTCTGTTGATTAAATAATTACAGAATATATACATTCATTTGCTCTTAATGAGCCACAATGCTTTTCTTAAAATTGTCTCAGTTTCTAGGAAGAACCACACTAATACCAAGGACTTACAGAGTATTTCTAGGTATATCCGCTGTCAGGAGAGATACATGTGTGAACATAAAAACCAGCGGAAGGCTTCTCACCTAGACTCAGGGACTCATGCTGCATGCGTGTTGGGGGCAGTGTGGTTGCTGCATGCAAACACTACTTGAAAGGAAAAGTAACCCTCTGAGTTTGAGTAAAACTTGGCTTCTAACTCAGAACTAATTCAAAGAAACGCTATATTTCCATTTATAAACATTTCAAAGAATGTTACTGCTTTCTAGAAACCTGTGGCAGGTAGCTTCTTTTATCCTGGAAACTGTTAGGGCTTTCAAAATGGCCTAAGAAATATTCCACAAAAATTATAGCATACCATTATTTTGCACTAAACTCCTGCACTAGGCCCCAACAGACTGGACTAAAAGTTAAAATGGAGTCACTTATGCTCACCAAACCAAAACTGGGTAAATCAGGAGAGACAGAGAAGTCAAAAGAGAAAGACAGCCTAATTTCCCAAACAGGCCAGTTTCTATCTTAAATCAGCATGACAATGAAGTTCCCTCTGTTTTAATCTTTACAATAGAGTAACTTGAAGTAACCTGATGTTAAGCAGTTATCTATTGTTCTGTCTCCCTGTCCCTTACATGGACGTAACTTTGAAATGACCAAGCTGCTTTCCGTTCTTTTGTTTCTGCTTTCTTCTGCCCCTTTTCTGTCTATAAAGCCACTCTCCTTTGTTTGACTAACTGGAACACTTACTCTATTTTACAGAATGTGGTGTTGCCCATTTCTAGAATTGCAATAAAGCCAACTGAGATCTTTAAACTAAATTTGTTGGAATCACAGAAGTGATCACAGTGATATCTAAGAAAAACATGTATTACATATTTTAACTATCTTTTAGTAACTGAAAGTACTTTTTTCTCATTTATGTATTTATTTATTTTTGTACATGAGTAAGTTCTTTAGCGGTGATTTCTGATTTTGGTGCACCCATCACTTGAGTAGTGTACACTGTACCCAATGTGTAGTCTTTTATCTCTCACCCTCCTCCCGCCCCTTCCCTGAATCCCCAAAGTCCACTGTATCATTCTTATGCCTTTGCATCCTCATTGCTTATGAGTGAGAACATACCATGTTTGGTTTAACGTTCCTGAGTTACTTCACTTAGAATAATCGTCTCCAATTCCATCCAGGTTGCTGCAAATGCCATTATTTTGCTCTTTTTATGGCTGAGTAGTATTTCATTATATATATAATGAAATATATATATACCACATTTTCTTTATCCACTTGTTGACTGATGGGCATCTGGGCTGGTTCCATATTTTTGCAATTGTGAACTGTGCTGCTATAACATGCATGTGCAAGTATTTTTTTCGTACAACTTATTTTCCTTTGGGTAGATACCCAGGAATGGGATTGCTAGATCCAATGATAGCTCTACTTTTAGTTCTTTAAGGAATCTCCACACTGTTTTCTATAGTGATGTACTAGTTTACATTCCCACCAACAGTGTAAAAGTGTTCCCTTTTCACCACACCTGTGCCAACATCCATTTTTTTTTTTATTATGGCCATTCTTGCAGGAGTAAGGCAGTATTGCATTGTGGTTTTGATTTGCATTTCCCTGATAATTAGTGATGTTGGACATTTTTTCATATATTTGTTGGCCATTTGTATATCTTCTTTGGAGAACTGTCTATTCATGTCCTTAGCCCACTTTTTCAAAGGAATGTTTGTGGTTTTTTTCTTGCTGATTTTGTTTGAGTTCCTTGTAGATTCTGGATATTAGTCCTTTGTTGGAAGTATAGATTGTGAAGAAAAGTACTTTTAAATCACTATTGTAGATACTTAAAAGAGAACTCTGACATATGGCAAAAATAGAAGCAGGGCCTCGTGATACCCTCTGTGAAAGTCTTCCAGAATATTCTGAGAGACGAAGCAGATTCCTACTCCACACTCCTGCAGTACACCTCTCTTACAGCCCTTGCTGACATCTGGTGTGACCAGAAGAATCTGCTTCCATCTCTGTTACCCCCATAAAATTGAATGCTACAGTGGCAGGGACTGGGGTTTACTAGCTAATCTTTGGATCCCCAATGCTTAGTGCAATATCTGACACACGGCAAGCATTCAATGACTATTTGTTAAATGTATGACCAAGAAAAGTATCTTTTCTGATAAAGAAGTTCTTCCAAATTTGCCCCCAAACTCCAAAAAATGAACTCTGTCCAAAGCAGCAAATCAAAACAAGGAGGAAAAAATCCATGTGTTTGTGTAATTCTGAAGGTATGAAAAGTGTTCTAGATTAACAACTACGGCAATAGAATAAAATTTATACATAATAGCTTAAAAAAGATTTCTTGTAAAGAATAATTTTGGCCTCTGTTGGCATTGGTTCATATACATGTATAATTGCCTAAGGCATTTATTTATCTATTTATACTGAGGTGTACACAAATCTTAACATGTTCGATGTATCTTTACACATGTACACACCTATATAAACACCACTCAGACCAACATATAGAATACTTACATCACCATCACCACAGAAGGTCCTCTTGTATTTTTCCTAGCAATACCATTCCTGCACCCCTATTTATATAACCATAGATTAATGTTGCTGCTCCTTGAATTTCATATAAAGGAATCATGTGTTTTGCTTCTTTTGCTCAAGATAATATGTAAAAACTGTGTATGCTGTTGTAGTTATCAGTATATAGTTTTCTCCCTTTCATTGCTGTGTAGTATTCCATTGCATCATTATGCCAGAGTTTGTTTAGCAATTTTTTCTGTTGATGGTTATTTCTAGTTTTTGGATATAGTAAAATAAACATTCTGCTTTGAACATTTTTGTACATGTCTCTTGTTGGATACAGGCATGCATTTCTCTTGGGTATATACAGGGAGTAGGCAAACGTTTAGTAGATACTACCAGTTTTCCAAGTGGTTGAACCATTTTACACTCCCACCAGAAATGTATGAGAGTTACAGTTTCTCCGCATCTTGGCCAACAGTTGATATTCCCAACCATTCGAATTAGTGTGTAGTGGTACTTTCTATACTTTTGACTGAATAATTTGTATTCTAAAAGGATAATATAATCTGGATTTATTAAAGCACTAACTGGACTTTCTTGGTAATGACAGAATAAATAGTGTCTGTCATTTGTGACTAACATTTTAAATTGTCTTAAACTACTGTGTGACTCAGTAGTTCAAGACAACTGTAAAATATTAGGCTTTTTTTCTGACTTTTGTCCCTTCTATGTCGGACTTAGCAAACTCCCAACTCTTTAAGCATCTGTTTGTCCTCCTCTTGAGGTGTATAGACTACATATACATCACACACACACACACACACACACACACACACACACACACACACACACACACAGAGTTCTTAGACAATTTAGGCATTGAAAAAGAACTGAACTTAGTATTCTGAAATGTTTGTTTGAACATTAATAATGTAAACATTTTAGAAGCTGTTGGATAGTAGTTTTTACTAGATTTCTTCTATGGACATAATTCTGAAACATCATTATACACTAAACATAGAACCATATTTGTCAGTTTATAGCCCTGTAGCTTAGTTAAGGGGCAAACCACATTCCCTCTAAAGAGGTCACGCAGTCACATTTCCATTTGTTGTGAGTCTTCCCATTCACCCACGCACAGAATTTAAAAATGGGGAACCACAGCAACTATTTTGGCGGAGGGAGGCTGAAGGACAATAATCAGTGTACACATGCTGCCATTTTTTCCTTGTAGTTTAGAAACTCTGAATTAGTGTAGGAATTATTTTTTTTAAGTCAACAAACATTTGCAGAGTGCTACTTGGTGGCCAACACTCAGTGCCAGTGAATTCTAGGGTATGGTTCTTGCCCTTACAAGGCTCATAGGCTTTACAGGTAAACGTGCGTCACAGGGGTTCATTGTACTGATTATTTCATCACTCAGGTGTTAAGCTTAATATCCATTATTTTTCCTGATCCTTTCCTTCTTCGCACCCTCCACCCTCCAATAGGCCCCAGTGTATGTTGTTCCCTTCTATGTGTCCACATGTTCTCATCGTTTAGCTACTACTTGTAAGTGAGAACATGCAGTATTTGGTTTTCTGTTCCTGTGTTAGTTTGCTAAGGGTAATGGCCTCCAGCTCCAGCCATGTCCCAGCAAAGGACATGATCTCATTTATTTTATAGCTGCATAGTATTCCATGGTGTATATGTACCACATTTTCTTTATCCAGTCTATCACTGATGGTCATTTGGGTTGATTCCAAATACCCATAAAGAAATACATGAATGATAAAGAAAATGATTCTTTGCTATTGTGAATAGTGCTGCAATGAACATGCACGTGCATGTGTCTTTATAATAGAATGATTTATATTCCTTTGGGTATATACCCAGCAATGGGATTGCTGGATTGAATGGTACTTCTGTCTTTAGGTCTTTGAGGAATTGCCACACTGTCTTCTACAAAGGCTGAACTAATTTACACTCCCACCAACAATGTATAAGCATTCCTTTTTCTCCACAACCTCACCAGCATCTGTTATTTTTGACTTTTTAATAATAGCAATCTGATGGTGTGAGATAATATCTCTTGTGGTTTTGATTTGCATTTCTCTAATGATCAGTGATGTTGAGCTTTTTTTCGTGATTGTTGGCTGCATGTACGTCTTCTTTTGAAAAGTGTCTGTTCATGTCATTTGCCCACTTTTTTATCGTTTTTTTTCCTTGTAAATTTGTATGTTTCTTATAGATGCTCCATATTAGACCTTTGTTGGATGCACAGTTTGCAAAAATTTTCTCCCATTCTGTAGGCTGTTTACTCAAAAGAAACATGATAGTTTCTTTTGCTGTGCAGAAGCTCTTTAGTTTAGTTAACTTCCGTTTGTCCATTTTTGCTTCTGTTGCAATTGCTTTTGGAGTCTTTGTCATGAAATCTTTGCCTGTGCCTATGTCCTGAAAGGTATTGCCTAGGTTGTCTTTGTGGGTTTTTATAGTTTTGGGTTTTACATTTAAGTCTTTAATTCACCTTGAGATAATTTTTGTATATAAGGAAGGGGTCCAGTTTCAATCTTCTGCATATGGCTAGCCAGTTATCCCAGCACTGTTTATTGAATAGGGAATCCTTTCCTTATTGTTTGTTTTTGTTAGGTTTGTTAAAAATCAGACAGTTGTAGGTGTGCGGTTTTATTTCTGGGCTCTCTATTCTGTTCCATTGGTCTATGTGTCTGTTTTTGTACCAGTGCCATGATGTTTTGGTTACCGTAGCCCTGTAGTATAGTTTGAAGTTGGGTAGCATGATGCCTCCAGCTTTGTTCAAAAAGAAATATTTAATTCAGCATTTACAAAGCTGAATGACTTTCTCCCCCTCACATAACATCTATTAACATTCTACAGAATTAGTGATCCTTGGAAAACGAGTTGAAAAGCACTACTCTATGACAACGTATGGGGTTGAGCACAAATAATCTAAAATAAAATTTGAAATATATGTATGCATGTAATTTAGTAAGAAAAATAAGAGCTAGTATATCTTGCTTTAAGCAAGCAAAATATATGAAAACCTGGTTTTGCATTAAAAATGAAAGTAAAAGTTAAGAATCCTTCAGGGCTTTGGTATAACCATTATGGGAGTCAATTACCACTATATATTATTACAGATGTAGATGGTGAGGACATCTTGCTATATATCTGTATTAACTATACTATTTTTATTAGTTCAGATATGCTCACATTCAGGTAGTGGCTTTTCTGAATAAATATCTTATTTACTTTCAATTACTTTTTCACGATAAAAGTAGAGTGCAGAACAAATTCTAATTACTTATACTTTCTGGCTGTCTGTACAGCAAATGAGAAGACATTTATTGTAGTATAATGTTGAAGTTCATCAATAATTACTGGGCAATCAACCTACCAAGACAGAAGCTGAGACTATAAAGACAAATAACATATCATGTCTGTCCTGGAAGAGTTCATAGTCAAGCTAGGCAAATGTAAAAAGAAATAACTGTAATACTGTGTGGCTGGAAGTATAATAAGGCATTGAGAAAGTGCTACAGAAACACAGATGACTTCATTAAACAGAATGGGTGATTTATTGCTCCTACAATGAAGTACACACACAATGTCTATGTACAATAAAAATATGACTGCAATCAAGAAACTAATATTTATTGAGCACCTATTACATATTGTAAATGTGCATGCCAGAATTTCTTAATTATCAAATCACTGTTAGTTTCATAGAATTTCATATTGTTCTCAAAAGGAATATAAAATATTTCTTAGATTTTTGGGCAATTTTATTATTCAGAATCAGAGGGAGCCAAACAAAAGTTTAATTTTACATTTTAGAAAAAAGTCTAAGGCAATACCATCATATGCAAGCAATCCCTCAGATTGGTAATCAGAACTATATAGATTACACGTGCTTTCATTTCACAGTTAGAGCCAGCAGAGGGAGTAAACCTCTTCAAAGAAAAGACTGAAGTATATATGGAGAAATGTAAGACTTCAGATGTAAAGAATGCCTTTGATAAAAAAGAAAATTTGAGTACTGAGACACAGATGTCAAATACAGGGAAGTACTTTAACTGTACTTTTAAAACTCATTAAATGTAAGCGTAAAAGCAAGAGCAACCACTGAGTAAACTGAAGGATGCCATCTTATTGCTTTAAAGAGACCCACAGGACTGAAAAGTATTAACTTTCCCATATGAAAGCCCTGTAGGCTGGGCGCGGTGGCTCACGCTGGTAATCCCAGCACTTTGGGAGGCCGAGGTGGGCGGATCATCTGAAGTCAGGAGTTCAAAACCAGCCTGACCAACATGGGGAAACTCCATCTCTATTAAAATACAAAATTAGCCAGGCATGGTGGCACATGCCTGTAATCCCAGTTATTTGGGAGGCTGAGGCAGGAGAATTGCTTGAACCCAGGAGGCAGAGGTTGTGGTGAGTCGAGATCACACCATTGCACTCCAGCCTGAACAAGAGTGAAACTCCGTCTCAAAAAAGAAAGAAAGAAAGAAAGAAAGTTCTGTAAAATGTGTTCTGTAGCAAAATCTGACTGATTGGCATTAACAGGAAGGAATTTCAATAGTCCATGTGCTAATTAGCAAGAGCTACTATCTGATGAGTGCCTGTTTTACTCCAAAGATAAGTCCATATACACCAATCACAGTACCTTGCTGCCTGAATTTCTAAGGCTATGAAACTGCTACCTATGAAGAGTATGAAAATTATCTTGGGCTGGGCACAGCGGCTCATGCCTGTAATCCAGCACTTTGGGAGGCCGAGGTGGGCAGACTGCTTGAGCCCAGGAGTTCGAGACCAGCCTGGGCAACATGGCAAAACCCTGCCTCTACTAAAAATACAAAAAATTAGCTGGGTGTGGTGGTGCGTGCCCGTGGTCCCGGCTACTCTGGAGGCTGAGGTGGGAAAATCACCTGAGCCTGTGAAGTCGAGGCTGTAGTGAGCCGTGATCATCATGCCACTGCACTCCAGCCTGAATTATGGAGTAAGACTGTGTCTCAAAAATAAAAAACAAAAAACAAAAACAACTACCTTAGGAACACAAATTCCTTGTGAATATTACAATAAATTCATTTTTTAACAGAACTACACAGGACTAAGCCTTTCTTTGATTTTCCTCGTGTAGAAGAAAAAATTGAGAGAGAAAAATTTTCTGAATGAAAACCAAGTATTTTTACTCACTTTCATCTCTGGTACATCCACAATATTTTTTCATCTTTGCTCTTCACGGGGTACTTCTTGTACCCTTCTCAGTTGGTATTTTTACCATATTTGGTTCACCTACCAAACAAACTATAAACATAATCTGCATAGTGGAAAATTATTAATAGGAATGTCTGTTTTGCACAGGCCCAAACTCTCTTTTTTGCAGGTTACTATTTTCCCTGTCTTTTGTTTACCTGTGAACCTATAACATGTATAAATAGGAGGTATTTGTTTTTCTTACCTGGGTTAAGAGAAAGAGATACAAGTAGAGAAAGAAATGGGGGTGCCTAGGCTTGAGAATAACTGGATATGGGCTGAGTTCACAGAGAAACCCTGATCAGCACTCCCTCCCAGCCCTATGTGATCCTGTCTCATATGCCACAAGTTCTTTCAAAAGCTCTATTACCTAGTAGCAAAGTGGGCTGGCGTGATCTAGAAGGTGACTCTCAGGACCAACTGGTAGGTTTATTTTTCCATTTTATTATCTGTTTTCTAATTTATTCATTTATGCTTTAAACTTTTCCTGCATCCTAGTTTATACAGGTATATTCTAATTAATTCATCATTATATACTTTAACATGTTTTAATTTTTCATAATGAGTAATATGTAAATACAATCGATGCTTGTTGAAAAGAATTCTTTTTCTTTTGTGCTACTTGGATTGAAGGCTTTTACATTTACAGTCAATCTTTCTTTTCCAGTCATAAAAGCAGTTAGTGCTATGAATTAGCCTCTGTGAATAGCTTTGGTCATATTGTCAGCTTTGATGTAGAGTTCACTGTTGTCATGTGAAGTCACTGTTACACATTAAATAGGCAAGAGAAAAGGGGGATTTTACAGATTGTGAGAAGTTTATAGTGAAATTGGAGTATGGCAAGTTGATAAGCTGAATGGTTGAAATGTCAGTTACCAGGTACCCTTGGGAATAAGTAAAGACCAAGACCCCATGTTGCCTCATGCTCAGTGTACAAAACGTCTGTTCATAATCATTTATGTGGTCATCTACTTGCTGAAGATGATCTAAATATCGGCCATTTATTAGTCTCATCTTTAGTCATCTGTGAACACCACACAGTATAGGGGGTATGTGACTAGATGGACTAAGGGAAAGAGTCCTTGATTGAGATTTTGAAATCTGAGTTTTTGTTCCAGATATACTCTGGATATTAGTTTTAAATAAATATTTATATCCAGATATACCTCTGGATATTAGTTATAAATAACCTTTGTATATTTATTACTTTGCAAAAAAGTAATTTTATATTGTTAGGCCCTAGTTTCTCAACTACAAAATCAAGAAGTCACATTTGATTATTTCTAAAGTCTTTCCAACTCCAGAATCCTATAATTAGAATAAATAAATTCTACATGCTCAGTGACACCATCTGAACATTGCACTGTGTACCAATACATCCAGGTCAGTGATGCTGTTCACAGAAACTTGACATTTACAGAAATCAAACTTTAACCAAGAGGAAAACTGAAAGAACATTAATAATTACTCAATATAATTTGTGATTCCATAAAGCAAAATTGGAATTCCAGAAGAGCCTGTGAAGAACCTTTAAGAGTTATTTAGCCTGAGTGGCAAAAGGCAAAGCCACATATCACTTATCAATGTAGCTACAGGCTAGAGAACAATCATGTCTGCATGTCATGTAACATGGGAGAGGCTGTTGTCTGTCTCGTGTTCTTTTCAGAATCAAGCATCATTGTTCAAACAGAAATGTGTAGTGATTGCGCTTCATTAGGTAAGCATCCAAATTTATTACAAAATATGCTCAGAGTGGCCATTTCAGAAGACATGTCTGTCTCTGAAATAGAAAATTATATATATATAAAAAGACCACAGCAAAAAGGAATGACATGGGATATAATTTTTCTGTTCCTACCTATTGAAATATATCTCTGGTTCGTGTCTTTAGAAATTACCAAAGAGAAAAAGATGATCTCAAATGACTGAAATTACTTATAGACAGAAGGATATTAACCTCCTACGACATATTAAAAAGTTTGGGAGGGAGAAATTTAAGCTACACATGATATCTCTGGAAATTCCATTCTGTTTCATGCAAATGATCAGTGAAAGTTATAATGATACAAAGTTATGTCAATAATAGACTTTTAAAGAACCAGGTATAAATGGCAGTGTAAATATACAAATCATCTTGGTTTCTTTTAAATATTACCAAACAAATATGATCCTAGGACTAAGGCAGAAATTAGGGGGAAAAAGTCTCATAGCTTCTTTGTTGGTGATTAAGGGACCCTGAGGTAAAAAAAAAAAAAAGAAAGAAAGAAAGAAAGAAAAAAACCAACAAAAATCAAGAAGCAATGCTCAAGGTAATAAGTGCTTTCATGTTTCCAGTTCTCATATCTGAGGGCACTGGATCAAGCTAAAGGACAAAGAGATAAGGACAATATTGCAAGTTACAAACAAATGGCAGATAAAAGAGCTCTTCTGGGTTCTGATTAAGTGACAGCATTCTACACATTCTTTTGACTTGAGAAAGTCAGACTAAGAGCAGCGGCTAAGTTCCATGTGAAGCCCCGCTAAATAAGCGTATCTGCATGCTTTCACATTCTGGCAGGACAGGATTCCTCCCCTTTCATTGAACAGAGACATGTTCTCTGGGCTCACAGCAATAATGCGCCTCTGCTTCAACTTCCATAAAAAAGCATAAATGTATATGCTGAAAGCACAGAGAAGTTTTGTGCTTTGGGACGAGGTGGCTGGGAGCCAATGTTTACAATCCCCTGGGTGGGGAAGGCAGGCTGAAAGGCTCAGGACGGCAGGCTTTAAAAGTCTTTGCTGTTGCCGCCAGTGACCTTCGCCTCTGTTTTCAAAGCAGCTCTCACGTTAACCCCTTGGATTCTGTGTGCACTGGAGCTGCACAAAGGAAATACCTTTCTTTGAAGGACACCTCTCTCACGCACATCGGTTTCTGATTTCAGTTGGAGCAGCTCAGAAACACTGGATTAAGAAAGAAGCATGTATTCAATCTGCTGTCAGACCCACGGACATGTCAGCGGTATTGGATCTGGGTTTCGGAGTGTGCTCTGTTGTACAAAGTGAAAGTTTCCAGCTTTAGGCAATGGACTCAAGGTTATAAACCAGGGGATTGTGAAACATGAGCATATTTGGTCTCCAGGGGAGAAGGAAGCATCCAATTTATGCAGAAATGCTCTTTTCCCAGCTAGCCAATGAGAGGCGAGGCTACAAGAGTGGGCTTCCTATTGGGATCTCCTGACTAGAAGAATGGTGCTTAAAATTAAAGACAGGCTAAATTGCTAACAGGCCAACTTAAAAAGCAGCTGAAGAGAAAACACCAATTGTAAAAATGAAAAGGGAGTTTTCCCGTTATGAAATCAAAGCTGACCACATTTAGCTTATTATTATATGTTGTTGTTTCACGGGGAAAGAATTAATAATCTTTTATTCTTAATGCTAAGAAGATCCTACAAAATCTTACCATATATGTGTATTTTTTTAATAGTCTTTACTAAGTTACTCAAATGATGATATTCAAGAGTGGTATTATTTAAGGCCTCAAAATGTTTTCAGGACACAAGATTTACTTTGAAAAAACTGGTTTGATATGTCAGGGACCAGATCAAATGATTTACTTTGAAAAAACTGGTTCGATATGTCAGGGACTAGAACAAACGCTTTGGTCTATGAGAAATTTTGTGGATTTAAAGATGTTTGTCATCTAAACATTGATCATCATGGACAGTGTCACCCCTTTATTGAATGGACAGCATATGGAATCCTGGGGTCATGAATTGTGCAATTCTAATATTCAGAGTCTATGAACTCCTAACACATTTCCTGTCTTCAAGAGGATTAAGATTTCTGGAGAAGAAAATGAAAAGCAACATACACCAGAAAATTTAACCGATTCGCAAAAAAGTCATTAAGTCTTACTAAAATCATCCAATCAAATATGAGACAGGAATGAGAGAGAGAATTTTCTCTTCACATTTGGAGATGAAGCCTGGCCTCTACGTTACCAGGCAGCCATCTATAATGTCACAAAGTACATGTATACTATAGCTGGAAGTCATCTTAGGAATATTTGAGAGAACTGTTTTTCAGGACTAATAATTGGCTCTTAATAAGTGCTTCGGAAGACAGTTAATAACATTTCAGCTTCTCGAAGAATGCTTAATAGTAATCATAACTATCGGCCTGGCTTTCATTACAGACCAAACAACCTGTTCCTTGTTATCTATTGTGGAAGTCAATGGTGATTAAGTAAATATATTTTACTCTAATGCAGAAACTGACTAGAAGGAATGTTTTGAGAAGCTCAAAGAAACCCCAGAGCTGCACAACAGAGAAGACATAGCCAAAGAAAAACAGTCGAAGTTTATCAAGAGTCTTCCGTACGCCTGGCACTTCACTAAGGACTTCACACATTTTATGTTACTTAAACATAAAAACTTGTGAGATAGGCACATAATTTTTTACCCATATTTTAGGTAAGATACTGATATTCAAACATGTTAATAACTACAGTAGTCCCACAACTAGCCACTTGTCAGAGATACAATCCAAACCCAGGTCTAACTCCAGAGTCTGCAAGTAACCACTGAGTATGACAACCATGCAGGCAGACAGCCCTCTACCACTGCAGAGAAGCCCCCGGGAAACATATTTCACAGCTCTAACCAATTGGTGTACATTGCAATTACTATTTTATTGGGGACTCCAAGGCATGTCAATCTTTTAAGAAGGAGGCTGTGTTCAGTTGGAGATTTTTCATCGTATTACTGAATTAAAAGTCACATATGACTTCTATCAGAGGTGAAGAAGCTGCAATACTTGGTTTCTGCAATAGATTTACTAACATTTATATATTAATTTCACATTTTAAATGGAATCTAAAAGTAGCAGATGAAATTATGCTATCACAAATTTTCATGTTTTACAAGCCAGTTGGAAAATGTTTTATTCACAGGCTACAGGATCCATATTCTCATCATTCCCAGTCTGGGCCCCTCACTCCTACCCAAAGCTTTTAAGATGTTGTTTCTTATTTGTCTCCATAAATGAATCTTGTCTTAAAAAAAAAACTGCTGTGAAATCAAAGAAAATAATTGTTGCCATCTTTTACAGTAATGACATGTCACTTAAAAAGTTTTCAGCTTAGACTCCGTTTTCTGAAGCAGCTTCTATGAACTAATAACCTAACAGCTCTCCATGAACTTTAATTATTGCAATAGAATTATTAGGCACCACCAGTTACAACTGAACTCCTCCACACACAGTATAAAGTTAAAACTGTACAAATGAAGCCAAAATATGCACAGCTAAAAGGAATGTTACAGGGGGGCCTCTCTTAGCGAACAAAGCAAGCTCAGTTTGGCTCTTTTTCCCTCGCGCTACCACATCCGCACATCGTTAGCTGGAAAATTCCTGATATATGCTGTAATTTTTTGTGCTTTTTTTTCCCCCAGTACACTTGAGGCTTTAATGTCCAGATGCCATTTTCCCCCTTATCTGTCCCTGTTTGGGGTTCTGCCAGCTATGGTCAACAATTAATACAGCCGAAGAAAAAATACAGTACGCTCCCTGGCAACTGGTACAGCCTTGCAGGAAATACCAAATAAAAACTTGATTATGTATTGTTTAACCATTTTGTTTGCCTGTAGGCCACCCTGTCGTCGGTGTAATTCAGACGAGCATGCTTCATCTGGACGGTCTGTGCACTGCACCATTGTTCCCAGAGTCTGTCACGCACAATCACTGGCTTCAGCCTGTGGCCCTCTAAATGAAAGGAGCAGATTTGTGGCAGCTTTCCAACCTGCATTCCTTTTAATTAGTCAACTTGTGGCCCAATGTTATAATAGATAAGTAACCTCTTAATATTCATGTAATTAATTTATTTTTTTCTCATTCAGTTATAAGCCTTTGCATGGTGGAAAAAAGGCTTTTTCCTATATGGGCTCTGGCTTATGAAATAAGCATGCTACTATTATAAAGAACATCAGAGACCATGTCTCAATGATTCTCCAGGAGGACAATTCCAGAAACCACAGTATGCCCATAACTATATTTTAAGCATATTATTTTTGCATTTAAAATAGTAACTGATATCTTCCTTTTGCATGAATTTGATGTATGTAAGATGAATCATCTTGCCAACTTCAACTGGGCTGATAAATTTTAACTAATAACTTAGTTCACTATCAGAGAGACAGAAAGCTTTCACATTTTAGGATCCCTTTTAAAGCAAGGCTGACATGAAAAGTGGCCAGGAGTTCCCAAAGTACTAGGAAGTCCTCTACTCTAGACCTCGATTAAGTCAATAATTAAACTGCTGATGCTGTTAGCTATTAGCACATGATGAACCTTTAAAAAGATAAGTTGATTTCTATAAATACTAATAATGCCTCTTGGTAACAGGAATCAGAATGGCTTCTAAAAGCTCCATATTTAAGTTCTTTCAACTATTTACATTTTTCTACTAAACCAAATTCTCCTCAAAGGCAGTAACATCATTTTTACTTATTTCATGTCCTCATGGACAATACACATGGTGGGTGAAATACAGATATATCTGTACTACTCTCACATATTCTTAGTAGCACTTCTCATGAGATTTATGAGACATTTACAATGTCACATCAACAATTAATTCATTCATTCATACATATACAAATGTGCCTACTAGGTGACAAGCATTGGATCTCAGTTGCAAAGATGACACACAGATGATGAAGTCATCATATCTGTTCTCAAAAGCTCACAGCTGAGCAGAGGAGGCAGACATGTAACTTACCAATTGCACAAGCTCTGTGCGAGGTAGACGTAAATAATTTAAAAGCCTGGATTCAAATCCTGTCTCCTCTTTTATGAGCTACATCACCTTGGCTAAATAGCTTAACCTCTCCATGCCTCTGTTTCCTCACCTGCAAGATGGAGAATCATAGTACCTGCTTAATAGGGCAACTGGAGAATTATATGGATAAGGTACATAAAGTACTCTGCAGGTGCCTGGCTCTATAAACTTTAGCTATCAGCAAATGTTATATACACATCAACTCCACAGGGGTGAGGCGGGGTGCAGGATAGGGGTATCTAGTGTTAGAGGCTTCAGCGAGGAGGGGCAAGGGCATGACTGGTAGAGAGAGCAACATGAGCAAAAGTTGAGGAGTATGAAACTGCATGGACCAGATAACAGGACCCCAAGTGTTACTTGACAGAGCTAGGACTTTATCCTGAGGAGAAGGGGAGGTACTAAAGGGTTTTATGCAGGGCGTGTATGTCAGATATGCATTATTCTACATTTGCATTCTGGTAACTGTGTAGGATTGAAATTGGAGATGATCCTGAAGGCAGGGATCTCAATGAAAAGGCTGCAATGATCCAGATGCTCTGGGAGGAAGATGTATAAAACCACAGCAGTAGGAGAGGAAAGGCAGGAAGAATAACTTTAAACGAGTCAAATGAAGGAGAAAGAAAGATTAACTGAATCTAGGATAAGTCCCAGGTTTCTGGCCTGGGTGGCCAGGTAGATGGTGAGGCCATCAGCCTGAATAGGGACCCAGAAGGGAATGACTGGAAGGCTTGCTACTTAGGATGATATTCAGAAAGATATTTGGGTCTGGGGCTCAAGGGAGTGGACCGAGTTGGACATACATGAGTTCCCTGCCTCCAGGATTACCTCCACAGCGGAGGAGACTGTTGAAGGAGATAGCATGTACAGGCTATGTGCCATAGGGCAGGACCTTTGAGGAAGGCAGAGGTGGGCAATCAGTGGAGAGGAGTGAGAGACGTGGAAGGAAAAGCAGGATACCACGATGTCACAGAAGTCAAGGTGGATATTTACAAGAAATAACGAATAGAGAAGCATGCATGTACCCGAAGATGCCAAACAAGGTGAGGTCTTTAGAATATCCACTGCGGTAACATGATGGCAGCAGAAGGCTGCCTGCACAAAATTGAAGGGTTAATGACATCCAGAGTGAAGTCCTTAGTTACAGAAGAAAAGAGGCAGACGACAGAGACAACTGAAGCTGCTCTCTCTGCCTACCATGCCTTTCCCACTTGCCTCTAACTCTGCCCAGAACCTCTGGCCCCTTTAAGGCTTCTTTGGAAAATAGTGGGTACAGACTGTGCTTGAAGGCATGGGGGCAGCAAAGACATGATGGAACCAGGATCCGGAGAGGATCAAAGTGGATGGGATCAAGCGCCCAGGTAGTGAGATTAGAAGAGCACTGACTCCAAGGCTACAGACTCAGAAGTGAAGATGAGCACAGAAAAATATAGATTAATTTGCAAGTATATGTTGTAGAGATGCACTGATGGAATTCACATTCAAAGGTTTATTCACTTGATTAAAATACAAACAATATTATCATTAACAGGGGCAATCTCTGGTTTGTGAAGTCTAAAGCTTACACACTTTTTTTTTTTTTTGAGACGGAGTCTCGCTCTGTCGCCCAGGCTGGAGTGTAGTGGTGCGATCTCCACTCACTGCAAGCTCCGCCTCCCGGGTTCAGGCCATTCTCCTGCCTCAGCCTCCCGAGTAGCTGGGACTACAGGCGCCTGCAACCACACCCGGCTAATTTTTTGTATTTTTAGTAGAGACAGGATTTCACCGTGTTAGCCAGGACGGTCTCGATCTCCTAACCTTGTGATCCGCCCGCCTGGGCCTCCCAAAGTGCTGGGATTACAGGTGTGAGCCACCGCGCCCAGCCAAAAAAAATATGGAATGCTTCACGAATTTGCGTGTCATCCTTGCGCAGGGGCCATGCTAATCTTCTCTGTATCGTTCTAATTTTAGTACATGTGCTGCCGAAGCGAGCACCTCACACACTTTTAAAAAGCTGACAAATACCACAAAATGCAGAAATAAAATCACAATATTTTGATTAATAAACGGACACCTCCACTAGGAAACTCACTTGCCCTGTGTTATTTTTGAGCACATACTCGTTGACTGTCTTTCATCTGACAGCAATTTTTGAAATATTTTCTACAGGAAGATAACATGGTTGATCAAAGATTATTTTTATCAACAGCTGTGATGCAGAAAACATGTCACTTCACATGTGATCACTGTTGGTGGTAGTGCTACAGGTTTTAGCCATAATCAAATAGAATATTGATAAAATCTATTTTGGCTGATTCTTATAAGGCTGATTCTTTCCTTATAGAAGAAAAATTGCATGGTTATTTCTATCATTAAATATGTTGCATTATCAAGTATATTCTTTTTTTTTTTTTTTTTTTTTTTTTTTTTTGAGACAGAGTCTTACTCTGTCGCCCAGGCTGGAGTGCAGTGGCATGATCTCGGCTCACTTCAACCTCTGCCTCCTGGGTTCAAGTGATTGTCCTGTCTTAGCCTCCCGAGTAGCTGGGATTACAGGTGTGTACCACCATGCCCAGCTAATTTTTGTATTTTTGGTAAAGACGGGATTTCGCCATGTTGGCCAGGCTGGTCTTGAACTCCTGAGCTCAGATGATCCACCTGCCTCGGCCCCCTAATGTGCTGGGATTACAGGCATGAGCTACCATGGTCAGCCTCAAATATATTTTCTTATTATGAAAAAACTTCCATCTTAACTAGGCATTGATGAGAATAGAAACATTTGCTTTCAAGGTACATGTCTGTTGCCTTGAAGAATTCTCCTCAGACTAGCCTTTGGCTCAGTATGTTTCAAACCTTGTTTCTCCTCCACTACCCACAGACTTTGGTGCCAGAGACCATAGGACATGGTCATATTGTGAAATGACCTCTGAATCCCAGGTAAGTCAGCACAGTGCTGGTGGAAGTGAATTCCTGGAGGCCATTTCTACACGGGGGTAGCCAGGCATAACTATGTTAAGGGGTTTCTCAATCTGGGCACTTTTGGCATTTGGAGCCAGGCAATTCTCTACTGCAGGGGGCTGTCCTGTGTATTGTAGGATGTTTAATGGTATCCCTAGGCTTCCATCCACTGGATGTCAGTAGCAACATCCCTCTCCCCCATATTGTAACAACCCAAAATGTCTCCAGGCATCGATGAGTGTCCCCTGGGGGATAAAATCATCCCTAATCGAGACCCACTGATATATATGTAACCAGTGAACCCCATATAGAGCTTATAAAACCCAAATGAACTCAACATCCCCTTAGCCAGATCTCAAAAATGCCCATGGTCACTCCATTGCCACCTGACACGAGAACTGTGATGGGTGAGGTGGAAGGTTAATCAGCTGCATTTAAAATAGCTCACCTCCACAATTAAAAAAAAAAACACCAGATGACCATATTGCTAGAGCCTCTCCCATAACCTTGGTATGCGATGGGAGCTGAAAGTGAGGAGCTCTGAAGCTTAAAACTCATTAGACACAGATAAATCCACTTCTGATCATAATTTTAGTCATAAGCAATGACATATTTTTAAAAATTCTCTTTTTATACTGCATAACTAATGATATGACATGTTTCATACACATACTGCAAATCTCAAGATAGGTAAAAATACATTTCAAATGACCTCATTAATCATTATAATATGACCTATGGTTAAGTAAAGCACAAAACAAGTATTCTCAATTCTCTAGATAAACATCACATGTTTTATGACATGAATGTGTTATATAAAAGAATATCTGTGTGTTATGTATGCAAGCAACTAAAATTTTAACATTTCATTTATCTGGTAAGATGAATGAAGACTTAGATGTAACTAGATTTCCTGGATTACTTACATTTCTCTTTGTAAGCTCTGCAAGTGTATTATTTTAATCACTTGAATTTTTTCTTGCTTGTGTCTTATTATCAATTGCCTTTTTCCTGCTGTTATGATCCCTATGTTTATCAGCCTAACTCCTTTTCTAGTTTCTGCTTCTAATATGGACCTATTACACTTCAAAATGAATTCAAACACATTTATCAGGTCCCCCACAGAGGGGCCTCAGACTACCTCCCTGATCTCAGCCCTGACCTCTCTCCTTCCTACTTACTCTGCCTCAGCTGCACTGACCTTCTTGCTTTCCTTGGACAGACCAAACTCCCTCCTACCTTGGGGCCTCTGAATTCACTGCTCCCTGTGACTAGAATGCTCTCCTGAATCTTAGGATGCTCTGTCCCTATCTCCTACGCAAAAGACCTTCTTTGACCACCCTCCCCCTCTAAAATAGATTCCCGGTGTATCGCACTCTATTGCACTGCTGGGCCCCAGAGATTTTATCTAATATATTAATTTGTTTATCATACACCTTCCTGACAAGAATGAGGGGAGATTTTATATATATCATTAATTTCTACACTCTCAGCTCAGTGACTGGCCAGCAGAAACTATAGCAAAACTTGAAGAAATTTTAAATAAGAGTATGGATCTAAATAAGAACTCAAGAGGTAGACATAAGGCTTTAATGATGTGATAGCTACTTGGGTGCTCAGAGCCCTCCTCTCTCTTTTGTTCTTCTGTATTTCTAATTCTATTCCCTTGCTTCTTTACTTCTCTTTACCCCCACAGGCAACCACTATCCTAAGTCTCATGTTTTTCATTTCCTTCCTTAAAAAATGTTAATCTATAAATATACCTAAATAATATTTAGATTTGCTTTATACATATTTCATATGCTTTATAACTTTCTTCATTTTTGTTTTATTCCCCTCAATATTATTGCTAATATTCATCCATGTTATTGCCTGTAGCTATAGCTCATTCATTTTTAAATTTTCACTGCTGTGTAATTCTATTGTGGGAATATACCAGTGTCAATTTAATCATTCCTTTGTATATGAACAGTTGGGTTGTTTGGAGTGTTGGTATTACAAACAATGCTGCAGAGTATTCCTGAATATGACTCTTGGTACACATGTGCAGGAATTTCTCTAAGGTATGTAACTTAAGGCATGGAATTGCAGGGTTTCATGGTATAAGCATGTTAAACTGTATAGTTAATACCAAATTATTTTCTAAAGTAGAGTATCATTTTATGTTCCCTTCAACAGAGGATCAGTTTTAGGTGTTTCTTGAAAAAGCAAAGACTTGGTTTTAGAGAAATATTTTAAAAATCTAATCTAACATTCTTTGCCATCGAACTGGTGAGTTTTGTCCATTTACATTTACTGTGATTAAGAATCTGTTTGGACATTTTTACCAATCTATGTACTCGACATTCTTTCTTGCATCTCGGGCATTCCTTTTGAGATTATTTTCTTTCTTTTTGAAGTACATCCTTTAGAAAATTCTTGGTAGTGGTAAACTCTCTTGGTTTTTGCTTCTGTGAAAATTTCTTTACCTCATTAGTATACTGTGTACTTAGAATTCCATATATACACAAAATAGTAACAAAATATCCAGAATATCCAAAGTATTTTTACTACGATGTCCTTCAGGCACCAAGAGAGGAAGCATATAACAAGTAGTTGTTCACCAAGTAACCAACCTTCTCCTACGTTTTGGGTCCATGCTAAGGCATGCTTAGCAAACACAAATCATTGTTCCTGGTCTCAAAGAGCTTTGAGCAGCATTAAAAAAACTTGGAAATCACATGAAACCTAAGTAGAGAGTGAAAGGTTTCATGTAAAGGATGAATTGGGTGGCTTAAGAAGTGCTGTGGGCATTCAGAGCAGGAAGCATCCAAAGAAAGGTGGATCCCAGTCAGGTCATGTTGCAGAAGCTCCTGAATTATGTTTCTACACAACACTACTTATGTGGCCAAACCACACCTTTACCTTGAATCTGAAAAAAGCCAGGGTACGTTTTCTTTGGAGATGGTACTGTGGCTTAACTGAATCCTGAATTGGGCACTAGATAGATAAGAGCAATATTAAGACAAATGTTCTTAAAGACTAAATTAGAGAATAAGCAATTGTATGAAATGCTAAATACAAATTTTCCAGAATTGCAGGTTGAATGTGCTACTCAGTTATTAGTCTAGGTACCAACTCCTTTTCTGAATGGGGGGCATTCCTGCATGGCTTTGTAAAACAAAACAAGACAGTGCAGGTTATACAAGGGCTGGGCTGAAAGCCTCAGGAATTTCTTTTAACTTTCTTGAAAGGTTAATAGCTGAAAGAGTTCTTATATGACACATCTTAAGCAGACTATGTGAAAGAAGTGTATGTTATCTGTGACATTAATTCCTAATCCATAGTACAATGAGTCACTTATTCACTGGAGAATAATCTAACCTATTTGGGAAATGAACCTTTCTGAATATTAACTACCACCTATTCCCAAGAGGAAGTGATCGGTGGAATACAAAATGGCTCAGTACAGAAATAACATTAAAATGCTCATTTTGGCCAGCGTGGTGGCTCACACCTGTAATCCCAGAACTTTGGGAGGCCAAAGTGGGAGGATGGCCTTGAGCCCAGGAGGCTGAGACTGCACAGTGAGCTGTGTTTGTACCACTGCATTCCAGCTTGGACAAAACAGTGAGACCCTGTCTTTTTAAAAAAGCTAATTTTGACTACAGTAGGGAAAGAAATTTACTTTCATAATTAATGAGCTGTTACTTTCCAGTCATCTGCCTTCCACTCTATAGAGATTAAATACACAAAATGTCCTTCGTGAAAAACAATTTTCTTGTCTTTGTAGAATTTGTCCTGTGGGTGGTAAAGAAGAAAAGCACAACCATGAAGGTCTGTGCTCCAGGGCCACAACTCAATTTTTCTGTGCCATCCTCAACTACTTGCCTAGTGGTTGAAAGTAAGCAAGGAACAAAGACTGAAGAAACACCACTGGATTTCTGGGACTCTGAGATCTCACACTGAGATATGGTGCCTGAAAGCAAAGCAATTAATACTGCCTATACAGTCCATTCACAATAACACACTGATTCATTCTTAGATTCTCAGTGAAAATTCTGCAACTGTCTGGATTTGTGCATTCAATTTCCTGTATTCGAAGAATAGATACGTGTGTAGCCTTGGAAAAAATACATTTTATTTTTCCCCAGACTTCAACATTGTTTAAATAACTGATAATGGAAAGATTTCTTCAGCATAATCATTTCAGGAATACCAGAAACACTCTCTCTTTTGAGAAATAATAATGAAAAAAGAGAGAATGGTCTCCCTAAGATGTTAGTAATCTAAACTTTAGTAAAAGTGATTTCTAAGTAACTGATTAACAGTAATAAAATGGTTTCATTGGTTTATATTCATTTCTTTACCTGTCTTCATATTCAGGTTCAAAGATGAGTATTACTATTACATAATTTAATTATAGGACTTCACTTTTTCATGTATTAACTCATTTAATTCCCACAACAATCCTATTAAGATAGGTACTGTCATTTTCTCTATTTTAGCAGAGAAGAAACCCAGGATACAGAGAGGCTAAAGAACTTATTTAAGGTCACACAGCTTGTTAAGTTGCAAAATAACTTTGTATAAAAGATCTGGTTCCAGAATACGTCCCTTTAACCATGTACTGTGGTATTATACTGTGTATAATAGCCGTTATACTGCTTTTTGAAGGAAGCAATGTTTTTCAAAAAAATTATCTCTTTGCCTATATTTGAAAATGGTAGGAGAGAAAAAGTAATATTCCAGGAACACTTGAATCAATTCAAGACTTCAGAAACAATGTTGCCAAGAAGGAAGTGAGAAACAAGGGAAGAAATTCTAAAACAACATCAATGGAGTCACTGTTTAAAGAAAAGAAAGGACTTATTCTCTTGGAAGGGTGTGAACTATTTATTCACAAATACCTGATGAGATATAGAAAACGTGCGTGCATGCGCACACACACACTCACAGTCTCTTTCTCTCTCACAAGATAAATAAATGTAGTATTAGAAAGAATGCTAGGTATATAATGTTTTAAATTCTGCTGTCTTCCCAGACTCTTCCAACTTAACAATCTCTGGCCTCAAGAACATGACATTATTCTCTTAAGAGAAACAGCCATTATCAAGTGTATGATATTATGGGCAGCAGATGAGCAGATGGAGGAAGACACACAGTGGTGATGATGAAATTTTTAGGCATATTTAGTTGTTTAAAAAATCCTCAAACTGAACAGACTCTTACTGGATTATATCCAATATCTAATTTCTAAACTTGTTATTCTTTAGGAATAGTGAGGGAAGACGGGTGAATGAAGGTAATTAGCCCCAAGGAGAGAAAAATCGAAAAAGGGCTGAAAAAAAATTTGACGCTTTTCTTTACTAATTTACAACTTTCTTTGAAACCCCAGTTTGATTATCTGACTTTTGAAATTGAGAAACTAATCTGTGTTACCATTTTAGAGAAATGAATGGATGAGGTGAACCAAGAATGGAGAATGGAGATAAACCAAGACCACACAAATTTGACTATAATGAGTATATATTACTTTTATAATAGACATAAACAGCTTCAAAGTGCATCATCATTACCAATTGCTATTTGGTGAGCATAATCTATGTGACGCCCGTTTCTTCCCTCAAGGTGCTTGTTGTCTAAGGAAAAAAGTAAATTATGGTATTTTGTGGCTGTTTACATTACATAACCCTCATTAGGGTTTAGTCATATAACGACCACAAGTGAGGTATACAATTTGCCAACTTTAGCAAAATCTGGATTATGTGGAGGAAAAAGGAGAAACAGAAAGATAGGTGGCTAATTAATTAGAACATAACCATGTCACTGGCACTTTAGGCCCAATAAAGTAAAACATCTATCATTTAAGTCCTGATAAAAAGAAATATATTTTTTAAAAGGCTCTGTTTGTAAAAGAAAAAAAAGTCATTTCATGATAGATTCATCTGAATTACAATTGGGATAAACATTAAACCACTAGAAAATTTCTGATTTATACAACTACTAGTGAGATGTCATATAGAGATTCTTCATTATACAATTTGTTCCGTTTTGAATGAAAATGTTAATCATACCAGGAGAAATTACTATACATATTCAATACCACTGCCAGTAAAAATAGTAGTGATTACATCAGTAGTGGCTACTATGTTCTGAGCATGTGTCAGGACACATCCACAACAGTACAGTATGAAGGCAATTATGACCAGAGACACTTATTTGATTTAAATAAATATATTTTTATTTCTTATTTATCTCATAAAGTAAATTTCATATCAGATTTTGACATGAACATGTTTTCCCCGGATCTACATTTAACAGCCTCCAGTTTCTGTCCCATCTCATTCTTGCTCTCACGTAGCCCCTCGTCACACATCTTTCTTAAAACAGCCTCCACGCTGGTTTCCCTGCCATCAATTTCTTAATTCACACCAAATCCTCCCTACCAATCCACTCATCACATTGTAGTAGACTGCTTTTTTTTAGGGTAAAAAAGGTTTTAAAGCACTCTGCTCAACAACCCACATACTTCTTGCTGCTTTGCCGTTGTGTGTGTGAACATGAGCTGATGTTTCTCAACCCCATACCTAGAACACACCTTTCCCTGTGCTTTGCCAGGCAAACTCCTCCTCACTTGTAAGCCTGCCTCAAAAATTAGCTCCCCTGAGAAGCCTTCCCTGACTCTCCTAGATCTAACAATGCTTGTCTCCTAGATTCACCAGGGTTTATCTGGCTAGGTAAGAGTTGTAGAGGCAACTTCAGATTTACATATACATATATGTAACTAAAAAAACATACACATATATACATATATGTATTTTATTTATGCATCCAAATACTGAATATTACTTTTAATCATATGAATATATTAATAACAAACATACTATTTATGTAATATAAATTACGTAAATAATATTAATGAAATTCACATCTTTTTAAAAGTTCTTAGTTTAACATAATTTTTCTTATTGCCTCACTGTTTTTAAAAGCAATCCTTAGCTTCCTGAATTTGCCTGAGAAGAATGTTACCTGCTGATTGCTGATAGATGGCTCATACTCAAAAAGTGTTTGCTGATTGCTATTATTAAGGAATCTAAGGAATCATAGTCCTGGTGGGTGTGGTAAGCAATCATTCTTAGTCTAATCAACATTTCCATGAAACTCTAAAGCTTTCTGCTTTCAACATATGTGGAGCACGTAAGGAAAAATGCACTGTGCTTTATAAAACATTTTATTAGAGATTGGTGAATATATCAGTGCGCCTCTGAAAGAAACCAACAGCAGATGTTCCTACCTATACAGTGGCCCTGCTGCCTTGGTGGGGGTGTATCTCTAGACTAATGAAGGGCCTGTACATTCGTTGTTCACCCAACAGCCATCCCCTGCTTTCCTGGCTAGCATAACCTGATTTTCTTTTGGGTAGCAATATGCTTATCTACAGACTGATTGGTCAATGGGTAGGTACGGGATTCAATTATGAGTGATGAAACCTAAAGTGGAAGTTTGAAAAGAGCTTTTGGAAAAGATTGTCTTCCCTGATTAAAGAGACAATAAAACCCTTTTTGGCCCCTGCTTCCTCACCTACTGCTTAGAATACTGTTGTATGTGATATAATGCTTTTGAAGTTGTGGCAGCCATCTTGAGGCCCTGAGGGATGACACTCTCAACTAACCAAAGAAGAAGGAATGGTATTTTCCCAATATTCGGTTATCGGAACCAAGATGATACCATCAAGCAACAGCACCAATTGCAGAATTACCTATCTCCAGACTTCTTATATCAGATTTAAACGTTATTATTATTCAAGACACTTTGATTGGATATTTTGTACTTGTAACTAAATATATGATGCTATAAATGGGTCCAGAAAAAAATCTGAAGATTCTAGCTTTGGTGATTACCAGTAATGAAGTTAAACAAAGGAGACCAAAGCAGAATTGCCTAGGAAAGGAGAAGCTGATGAGTGATCTTTTTGTTATGATCTGTTTCTACTGCCATGGAACACCAGATGGAGAGGTGGGGAAAAGCAGAGATGAGGGCTGATACTCAGAGGAGACCCGGGCAGACGGATGACTTGGACACCTCTGCACGGAGATGAAAGTTACAGCCATGGACCTGAGTCAGACACAGAAAGGGCTGAAGTCAGAACATGCTGGATGCTTTATTAGAGGACAGGAAGAGCAGAAAGCGCCAGCAAAGGCAATGGCCAGAGGCACTCAGGAGAGACAAAGCAGTGAGCTCTCTCACATTCAGTTAAGGAGTGCAGGAGTAGGAGCTGAAACCCTTTTGGAGAACAATTTGGCATTATCAAATTTTTGAATGTGCATTCTTTGTCCTTTGTCCTGGTAGTACCATTTCTTAAATAATTATCCTAAAAGAAATTAGTATTTCAGTGAAAAAAACATAAGCCCAAAGATGTTCACTGCAGCCAAAAAATGAGAAACCACCCAAGTGTTCATCCTGGGAGACTGGGTAAAAATATTATGTAAATTTACACAGTGAAAGTAAGAAAAAGAATAACAGGCTAATATATGTTAGATATGGACAAAATGCCTAGGATAAATAAATGGAAACAAGTAAACAAGAAATCCCAAACAAACAGAAAACCTGTATGTATACTATTATAGGCACATCCACATCCACCCTCATGCACACCCATACTGAGGGTTGTATACAAGTAGCAAAAAATATAAAAGTTCATTTAACAAACTGTTAATAGTGGCTTTTTTTCTGGAAGGAAGGATCATTGAGGATTTTCCCTTTTCATTTTTTTACCTACCTGGAATGGTCAAATTTTTTTTTTTTTTTTTTTTTTTTTTTTTTTAAGATAGAGTGTCTATCTGTCACCCAGGCTGGAGTGCAGTGGCATGATCTCTCAGCTCACTGCAACCTCTACCTCCTGGGCTCAAGCGATCTTCCCACCTCAGCCTCCCAAGTAGCTGGGACTACAGGCACATACCACCATGCCTGGCTAATTTTTTTATTTTTTGTAGAGACAAGGTTTTATCATGTTGCCCAGGTTGGTCTCAAACTCCTGGGTGCAAGCAATCTGCCCGCCTCAGCCTCCCAAAGTGGTGGAATTACATGCGTTAACCACCACACTGGTGGAATGTTCAAATTTTAAAATAATTTTAGCAATGAACAAAGAATGCAGACAAAAAAACTGAAGAAGGAACCGTGACACTTTGGGAGGCTGAGGCGGGCAGATCACGAGGTCAGGAGATCGAGACCATCTTGGCTAACACGGTGAACCCTTGTCTCTACTAAAAATACAAAAAATTAGCCTCCTACTCAGGAGGCTGAGGCAGGAGAATGCTGTGAACCCGGGAGGCAGAGCTTGCAGTGAGCCGAGAGAGCGCCACTGCAGTCTGGTCTGGGTGAAAGAGCAAGACTCCGTCCCAAAAAAAAAAAAAGAACCATGAGAGTTTAAGGGAGCGGGGACTCGCATATACAAATGCTACAAAGGGAATGTGGAAGAACCTGCAAAAAATGCCACTGGATTTGGTGAACTCTATCTTATAAATGGGGCTATTTCTCTCTAAAAAATTGTCTACTAAGACCAAATTTCTAAAAACAAAATTACTGAGTAAATGCATGTGAATTAAAAATAAAGCAATTGATGAATATCTTATTTTTCTAAAATATTATGGGACTAACAATACTTGAGAACTACAATCGACTATTGAAAAAATTTGATGCCTTTAAAAACAGGAGTACAAAAATTACAAATGATAAGCTGATGGAAAATACAAATTGTACTGTGCATATAGTAGCAGCAACATGACCTTTAAATGCAGTTTTTCAGCCCCACATCCTAAAACCAAGAAGTCGTTATAGAAATAAAGATAGAACAATAAATACAAAGAAAAGATAAAGACAAGATTTTATTTCAACTTGTGTAAAATTGCTGAGGTCACTCTTGAAAGCTTTTCTTACTTTAAATGGACTATTCAATCTTGTCAAAATCTTAAATATTGTGCTACATTTTTAACATCTACTTGCCAATAAAAGGCATGACAGTGGACAGTTTGGGTATAAGAACATGTGAGTTTCTCTCTTCTTTAGACATTAATCCTATGTATGTATGTATGTATGTATGTATGTATGTATGTATGTATGTATTTATTTATTTGAGATGGAGTCTCACTCTGTTGCCCAGGCTGGAGTGATCTTGGCTCACTGCAACCTCCGCCTCCTGGGTTCAAGCGATTCTCCTGCCCCAGCCTGTAGCTGGGACTACAGGAATGCGCCACCACACCTGGCTAATTTTTGTATTTTTTCAGTAGAGACGGGGTTTCACCATATTGGCCAGGCTGCTCTCGAACTCCTGACCTCATGATCTGCCTGCTTCAGCCTCCCAAAGTGCTAGGATTACAGGTGTGAGCCACTGCGCCCGGTTGACATTAACACTTTACAATTCACAATGGGCTATCTGTGGCTTTTCCTAATACAATATTTTTGAATGTATATCAAGTAAAAACTACAGTGGCCAGACAGTATAAGTAGTTTTACATAATATACATAAACCTGTAAAGTCTTTTAAAATGCATCTTAATCTAGTAAATCATATTTTAAATGCATAGGCAGCTTTTGAAAAACTTTGCCAAAGCCCATATGCAAATTACTTGATTTTACATATTTGATTTTTAAAACATTTATGCAGTTTTATTAAAGCTATATTGGTTTTTTGAACCCAAGATTTGGTTTCTATTACAACTCCATTAAAAATGTTCCCTGACTTAAATTAATATTGATAAATTAGTCATTTAACATTAAAAGTGGTTATGATTAGAATGAGTATCACTGATTAAGCTTCCATTTACTCTGTTGCTCTGTACTGAAAGCTGAAGAAATATAACTTTAAATACCAAGTCAATTTGTTTTAAGTCCTCAAAATTTAAAAAAAGTAAAAAAAAAAAAAAAAAAAAAGAACTAGTATCACTGAGATCTTGTGCACTCTTGACAATATCCAACCAGCTGACTAGTCATGCATTTGTGTAAAATGCAGTAACTTTGGTTTTCCAGAATATCTTCTAAATATAAACACAAGATTTTAGCAATGAAAGTGACTAACAAAATAAGTTTAATTCTTGGTGTTTAAATTTCAAGATGGATGCAGATACAAACCACAATGGCACCTTTCAGGGAAGTCAATATTTAAAGAACAGCATCCCTTCCCAACCTCAGTCCTCCTCTACCTCCTCTACTCAGAAACCTCCTATTTTACCACCCACATATACTCTATAAACACTCACTGAGCAGCTACCATGTGCCTGTGTGTTGTTACCTGAAGTGCTGAAATGGCTATTTTGCAATGTTAATCTTTTAAAAATAGAAGACAGAAGTCAAACAAATGGGGATACTACCATATGAGAACTACTATATTACAGGCAAATCAAAAGTGCACGGGAGGGTAGGTACTTAACTTTATCCTGGGGAGTTGGGCAGACTTCAGAGATGGCATCTGAGTCTTGAAGAATGAGTAGGAGATTGTTAGGCTGGGAATGGGAAAGGCAATCTAAGCAGAGAGAATGTTTAGTGACACGGAAGCATAAAATCTAATGGCATGATTTTTCAAGAAGGAGCAAAAAGGTCTGGATAGCAAGATCATAGGGTGTGTGGAGATGGGTTTGGTGTGGGTGGGAAAGCAAGAATGGAGAGAAAGGTTAGGAACAGTTGACTGCTGCATTCCGGAGCTCAGAGTATACAGACTTGAGTGTGTGGGCAATGGGGAGTCACTGGGAATTTTTACTCCTTCACCTCCCCAAACGGGCTTGTTTCCCACAGTGGTCCATGTTGTATGGCTGTTCCCACAGCTCCCTTCTACATGCCAGTCTTGTCTTTCCAGGAAAAAGAAAATCTCCTTTTCTGACTAACTGTAGTCTTGATCTTTCATCCATTCTGCAAAAATGGGATTTTATAGACAGGTAAGGACATTCTCATGAATATATGTGAAGACCATCATTTTAGGAATTTATTTCACATTCTTGATAGTAGCTTTTAAATGCTTTACTTTATAAAAGTTTTACAGTTTTTTTTTTTCTTTTTCTAATCTGCTTTTTCTAAACTAGTAAAAGCTAGTTTTCTGGAACTAGGTTACAGACAGACTTTGGCCCATTTAACAAGGTCAGACTGTTTATTCTTGACAGAATTCTTTCCCACTGTAAAAAGGTACTTTTAAATGCCACATTCCAAAACCAGTGCCAGTAAGCCACTGAAGCATATTTTCCCACAAGAACTGATACCATGTGCAGTCCCTACCTCACTGAAATCATCCAGCGTTACATAAGGTGCAGATAGTATTTAACGTCACCATGAAATCTATCAACTGAAATATGCCAGCCATGTATTTATAAAACACTTCCGTACATTTCAAAGCATTGGTAACATTTAAAAAAGTAATTATTAAAAATCGAAATGGGAAAAAAGAAAGGGAAGGACAGTGCTAGAAATTTTTTAAAAAGAATTTAAGACAGAAGAGGAAAATGAATCTTGTAACTTTATATCAGTATCCAAACCTGAAGTAGTAGAGCTTTTTCTCCCTTATTTTGGGGTTTTTATGGTTGAGCTGTTAAATTTACAGCCCCATTTTTAGATTCTGCCAGCCTTCAAAATAAATATATGAGCAGCGCTAAAGTAAATTCTCCTACGCTTTCCCCTTTTCTCTTTTGGATGTTTCCCTGAGATTTGAAGGTAGATTATTCCTCCACAGCCAACAGTAAAGTTCAACATTCAAATTTATGAAGGATTTAAAAATCATCAGTATCCTTGTAGATAGATGCTGGGTGCAACAATGTCACTCACCCTGGGTTTCAATCCCTAGAGAGGGGGAAAGCAGAAAGCAGGAGCAATAAGAGGAATGGTTCAGCAGCCAAAGACTATCATTTAGAAATGCATTGGGAAGATTAGCAATAAAGTCAATAAATGCATCAGAAAATCCGGCACTACAAAGTAATTGTATAAAAGTCTGAGCTCAACTTTTGGAGAGACCTACACAGATAACAGGATCATAAATTTAATCTTCTCAAGGACCCAAATGGACTAGATAAAATGACTAAGGGAAACTGCAATGCAGAGATTTTCAACCCCTTCTTGGGACACTATGGTTTCTCCAAAGATCCCAAGGGATCTTAGCTTTAAAATAAAAGCATAACATACAGAACATCTAAGTGCACAAGTCAGGAGATCTGGCAAGGTTTGTGATCTCAAATAAAGAGGGATGAAGCACAATAATTATCTGAAGGTTATGAATGGCTGCCCAGACACACATTCAAAGTGTAAATGTTACTCCCTCAGAGCTCAAGTTATTATCAAGGAGTGACGCAGGCAATTGGGAAGATTAGTTGAAAGTTGTGTCTAAAACAAATTAAAAAAATTTTTTTGGATGCTTATAATTGATGATGCAATGACACAAGCAGCAACATGGAGAATGCAGAGTAGGAAATCCATTCATTGATTCATTTGTAAAAGCAGGGAGTTGTGAAAGCAATTAAGTTCAAAGAATAGTGAAAAACTGATAAAGAATATGTGCTTATGTTATGTGCTTACCACTTTGGGTAGAAGCGATGGAAAGACAGAAAGGTAGGTTGGAGCTGAGCTTCAAAAAACTTTGTATGCCATGCTGTAGAGTTACAGTTCATTCTCTAGGCACTGGAGAATCGTAAGGATTCATTCATTCATTCACCATGTACTCAAGTGCCCACCTCGTGCAAGGAAGGCACTGTAGGAAATGCTAAAATACATTATTTGGACTGAGTGAATAAAAATGGATATGGCCAATGTTACAGAATTTGAGAAACATTATCTTGACTCAGAAACTTACACTATGATATTATCAAAGCCTAAGCAAAATATTGCCACCTCTCCTTTCCTTAAAAGGAAGCAGTGACAGCTCTAAAATACAAGCAGCTCACGTGTCCAAAGAATTAAAGAGGACACAAAAATCCAAATTATTGAAATGTTGCTTTATATTCAATTCCAAGGACCATGTCTCATACTCCTATGAGTATGAATATAACACTTGCGTTGAGTTAAGCAAATTTAGGGGAGATGGAATTATCTCATTAAATAGAACTCTTCAGAGAAGCCCCTAAACTAGCACAGAGGCATATTCCCAAAAATGTTAAATGTAGGAGGCAAAATGTTTTTTCATCTTCTGGATCCCTGAGAAGCCCTTTACTTGAAAAACTTTCTGAAGCATATGGTCTCATTAATCTTAAGACAATGCTTAGTCTTTATATCCAGTTTGGCCTCAGGCTTTTGAGATTTTGAATGGCATCATATAGGGTGTCCGTATGAAAAACAGGCCCAGGCATGGTAGCTCATGTCTGTAATCTCAGCACTTTGGGAGGCTGAGACAAGAGGATTGCTTGAGGAATTTGAGATCAGCCTGGGCAACATAATGAGACCCCCATCTCTTAAAAAAAAAAAGAACGTAGCTGGGCGTGGTGGTGTGAACCTGTAGTCCTACTACTTGGGAGGCTGAGGCAGGAGGATGGCTTGAGCCCAGGAGTTGGAGCCTGCACTAAGCTATGACTGTGCCATTGCACTCTAGCCTGGACGACACAGCAAGACCTGGTCAAGGAAAGGAAAGGGGAAAGGAAAGGGAAAGGGGAAGGAGAAGGGGAAAGGAAAGGAAAAAGGAAGGAAGGAAGGAAGGGAGGGAGGGAGGGAAGGAAGAAAGGAAGGGAAAGGAAAGAAGAAAGAAAGAAAAAGAAAGAAAGAAAGAAAAGAAAGAAAAGAAAAGAAAAAGAAAGAAAGAAAAGAAAAAGAAAGAAAGAAAGACAGACAACCAGATTCTCTGTATCATACCCTGATAGATGCTGGCTGAACAAATGTAGGAAAAAAGCAAGGAACTTCTGGCTCTTTCTCCGAGTAAAACATCCTCCAGGCAGTAGCATTACAGTTGAACTGTTTTTGTCCAGAACTAATTCGCAACAGTGACCACTTATGAAGGAGCTAGAATTAGGTGAGTCAAATGAATGACTATCTTTTATAAACAAGGGAATCAGTCATTTGATTCACTTCGCAAATCCACTTGGTGCAATTAGATAGCCACATGCATGCACATGCACCAACAGCAGCTTTCTGTGCAGTATGGAATACATTCTCTTTCTACATGGCAGAAATTCTCACAGTGGTCATCGATATTTGCCTTCACCGTGGAGGCAGAGCTAACCTATCAGATGGTAACTCAAATGTGTTTTATTACCACTGAGAACGCGCAGTGGAGAATCTGGATGGGTTTTCATGTTTGTTTTGGCTCTGGCATTTTCCATGTACCCAGCCCTGGGAATCCTAAAGAAAACGTGTCCTGTTCCCAGCTCTGTGCACTGCCCCCATTGTGTTCCACTTCCCTCACTGGTGAAAGTGAAAACGAAACCGGCACAAACCCTCCATTGTTAACTATGAAATATGTACTGGCAACTGGATGTTTTAACAAAACAGACCTGGTTGTGTCATGGCAAGATGTTGAGAGGGGAAGGAGTCACAGGAGCCCTTCCTGCTTCAGAGGTGTGTCCTGCACTTTCGCTGAGGTGCCGAGGCGACGGGGCTTTGGGTTTTTTCCATTATACTCATGTAATGTTCTTGGTTTGATTTATTCAGTATGCACTGGCAGCTTTTGGAGGCTTCTGTGGGAGCTACTCGGCTGCCCAAGCCGAGGCACAAACCCTGCCAGGTCTCCATAGTAAATACAACACGCACGAAGAGGAAACAAGCATAAACAATTTATTTTCTCCTGTAAAAGATGACATTGTTCTCCGATCTCTGGTCCTGCTTCACTTTGTCACTTGGTGGTGCCAACTGGGTGCCGTGGAATGAGTTATTCCAAACACACACACACACCCCAAGCACGAATTGCATGACGCGCACATTCACAGGGCCCACATCCAGGCGCGTTCAACAGGAGGATGCTGGTGACCTCTTTAAGCATCCCACATTTTGACCTGGGTAAGGAGGGAGGGCTTCCCTGGCCCTTAGCCTAGGCAGGTTCTTGAGCCTTATCATATGGCCTCATAAAACCATATCCCTTTCCTTTATTGCATTTATCTCTGTTTCTAACTAGACATTTCTTTGTGTGACTATCTGATTCAGATCTATCTCTCCATCTCGCTTGTAAGCTCTCTGACCTTGTCCATTTCCATTCACCATCATCCCTCAGCTTCACTGACAGCGTCTGCACATAGAAAGTGATCAGTAATTATTTGTTGACTGAAAGCCACAACTCCATTTCATTGATTTTCTCCCCTAGGCTTATCAAAGTTTCTGAATCCACGAGGTTCCGTTAGTGTTACTAAATGCTATCAACACTGAGGTCAGAGTAAGGAAGGAATATCATCAGAGGCACAGGAAGGGGATGTAAGTAATTTTTTTTTCTTCAACTTTAAGTTCCAGGGTACATGTGCAGGATGTACAGGTTTGTTACATAGGTAAACGTGTGCCATGGTGGTCAGCTACACAGACCATCCCATCACCTGGGTATCAAGTCCAGTATTCATTAGCTATTCTTCCTGATGCTTTCCCTGGCAATTTTTGTAATACTTCTGGTATTAAATAAGTTAATGATCTCAAATAAAGCAATATTGGGAATCTTATCAGTTACAGATTTAAAAAAAAATTTCCAAAATTAAGTTTTGTACTTTGTACAGCTGTCGAATAAAAGTCTTCTCATGTTTAACATTTACTTGTTGTCTTTTTGTAATTTCTATGGAATAAAGGGTGTTTTCAGAACATGTATATCTTTTATTAGTGAAGGTAATATGGAAAAAAAGATTCTTGGAGAAAGAGAATATAATTCACTTAGTGAGAATTTTATTAAGTCACTAAAAAGATGGGAACATACTCCCACTCTTCCATTATGGTACAAAGAGGAATGTTTCTCTAAACTATACAGGTGTGTTTGGCACAGGCATTTGAAGGAAAAATGCTAACTTCATGAATAGCATTAAATGATTGTATAAAGGCCCCAAAAATACAAAGATACTGAGGTACCAAAAAGAATGACCTCATTTTAGGGTACACTTCTCTCTACCCACGGATGGCTTTATGATGGCTGTCCTGGGGAGTGGCTGGCTCTAACTGCCTGGGTGTTGGCAATCACCTGTGGTATAAAAACATCAATACTGGCATTGCCTTGGGTGGTCCTTACAGTATTCCCATGTACACTGAGAGCAGCACAATGAATGTGCTGTTGCAATTATGGACTTGGGTGATTTTAAGGGAGAGGACACAGATAGGACTGAATCAAGAGAATGCTTCATTTTTCCTAAGCAATGATACTTTTATAAGACATTCAGGTGCACAATGTGGCAAAAGTTTTATTGAGGTCTACATAAAAAAAGAAAACCAGGAGGCACCAGTTCATGACCCAGTGTTCCTCACTGTGTCAAAATGTGGCATGAGCTAGTTGTCTGTTTTTGGTTTTATTATTTTAACAAGACTTAAAAAATATTCTTTAAAAATGGACTCCTAAACATTTGTGGAACCTCTAAATACCCTTTGTAGAATCTGAGAGTTCCACAGAACACAGTTTGATACCCTCTTGGGTACTGAATTTTTGGTATGGAGAAAAGAGGAGTGGGGATAGTGGGCCAGAGCCAGAATATAAACATTAGAATTCTCCAAGCCATTTACAATCTATTTGGTAAATTCAGACTTAAGCTGGTCACACTGCCTGTTTGAATGGCAGTTTCCCCACTTTTCAAAATGAAATGGTTGATAAAGAGTTCCAAGAGCACCAAATCCAATGGCAACAATATCACCCTCCAAGCTGTATGATTAGGTTTAGAAAAAAAATTAAAGATTTTGCATCATAAATGGGAAGACAAGACTGCTCCCTTCCTGAGCTTGCTGGTCACAGTGCTTCATGACTGTCAGAGCCCTCACCAGGGCTGCTGATGATGTTCCTGGCTCTGCTCTAAGACATGTCAGACCCGGGTGCACAGTGAGGTAGGACTGAAATTGCTGGCTGAGTGGCTGGTCTCTTTTTCCCTTATCTTCACAAAAATAAGTTGCACCATGCACTACATTTCACATGAGAAGGACTTAGAAATGTTGACTTCAGAGTGACTCTAAATATAGTTTCAGCTAGTCACAACAGTCATTGTACCGAACAGGTGTATATTCTTGAAACACTTTTGCCAGAGACATTATATAACTTCACATGTCATGATTTTTACCTATCAGCTATGTACAATGGAAAGAACTTCCCTGTAACCTGTTCTCATTGGTTTTCCAATGAGAACAAATGTAATAGTTCAATAGAGGTCAGAGAAGTTAATTTTTCATGGTTTCAGAGAAACTTTTCTGATAAAAATAACCCATGCCAGGTGTTAAATATAACAGGCCCCACTTCTCTTCACATTTCCAACTCCTTCTTTGAACCACAAGGGGCCTCATACACATGCTTACGGACACTCCAGTCTGCAAGTCCAAGCTCTGCCCATATGCTGCAAACAGCTGCCCCTAGGCTTAGGAGTGAACACACAAGTGGCAAAATCCCTATTAGGAGGAAGGATGAGCCCATGCCCTTCCCATTTAGTCAGGGAATTGCAATGTCCTGTGTGCGGTATGGGGCAGGGGTGGAGGTCTCAAGAGACATGCTTCCTTGGCACCCTGGGTTGTGTGCTCCATGAAGGGAGACAAGGCTGGAGTAGGGCCAGTGTAGGCTTCTCTAAAGCATGAGATCCAGGTCAGGGGCCCCTCTTGCCTAGGACCAAGGCAAACACTGTTACCATCCACATCTTAATTCTACAACCTTTAAAGAAAAAGGTATAATACTCTGTATGGGTACATGTGCATACAAGACACTATATTGAGCAGCAAGAACCCAATACCCCATAAAGACACCAGAATGTCATGTTGGAGGCAGCCTGGCAAAGTTAGGCAAAAGACATTTAACTCTTTGATTAGTCCTCAATTTATCAGATGAGGACAAGATAAGTCATTCAGCCCGATGTTGCATACCACCTACAGCTACAACTATGGTCCAGGCTACTGTCCTAAATTAATTTCTACCAAAGGCCAACATATGAAGTATATTCTACTTATGAAACTCGTGTTTCTTAACAAGAAACTTGTTTTCACTAGAAAAATAAAATAATAAAGATCATAATATAAAGGGTTATACCTTAAGATGCCTGGAAAGCTTACCTGTCTAGAACAACTAATTTCTCAATTAATCCAAAAGATGCCTTGTCTTGAATACTGGCATAGAGCATACTGGCTCAGAAATTAAGGAGAAGTAGTACTTCAGGATCTGTCAGGTGATCATGAACTTAAAATGAAAATAAATACTGTTAACTGCTCCCTCAAAGTTCTATATGTAAGAACATTTTGAAGTTTTCAGAAAGAAGCTAATAATACAAGCTTTTATAATTGTTCAAATAGAAATATCATTTATTATGTAAATATATATATATTAACATAGATAGTAAAAGTTGTCTAGTAATTCACCCATTCTTTCATTTAGAGGATGTTAATTATCTTAGAAGAATATGACTCCTCTTCTAAAACTTGCTTTAATAACAAAACACAAGGGGCTAAAGAAAGTCTTCAAATAAGTAAAATTACAATAATGCTACATTCCTCTATCTCTACAGCTTTCTGTTCAGGACAGGAAGTTCAATTCATATATGTAATTTGTTCCTGAGGCAGTAGAAAGGATTATGATAAAAACAATACACAGACTGTGAACTTGGGTTTGCGTCAACTTTTCACTCCTAACTTGAGATTGAGCTACAGCATGTATTAATAGCTTTCATGATTTTGAACACAGATATGTGCTGCCAATAAATCAATCAGGACTAGGGTGCAAAATGGACTCAGCCATTTTAAGGTATATGGAGTAAGTCCTTCAGCTTAATATTACCAGGTAGCTATGAGGAATATTGACACACATCAAATGAGACCATTAAATGTATAACATAGCTCCTTCTCTATTCCTGTTATGACTCAACTGCTTATATCTGCAAGTCAGCATTTGTCAATTTATTCACTGAAAAATATTTCCTGAGTGCCTATCAAAATAAACAAGGCACTGTGTGTTAGGGCTGAATAAGATGAGCATCTGCCTTCGAGGAACTTATGGCCTGATAAATAAAATTCCCAAATAACTAAAAACAAGACAGAAAACAGTATTATAGGCTGGGCACAGTGGCTTATGCCTGTAATCCCAGCACTTTGGGAGGCTGAGGAGGACGGATTACTTGAGGTCAGGAGTTCAAAACCAGCCTGGCCAACATGGCAAAACCCTGCCTCTACTAAAAATACAAAAATTAGCCTGGGGTGGCCTGTAATCCCAGCTACTTGGGAGGCTGAGACACGAGAATCGCTTGAACTCGGAGGGCAGAGGTTGCAGTGAGCTGAGATAGGGCCACTGCCCTCCAGCCTGGGCAACAGAGTGAAACTCTGTCTCAAAAACAAAAACAAACAAAAAAACCCAAAATATTACTCTGGAAACAGAGAGGAAAAAGAAATTAATTTCTGAAGGGGATACTAGAAAGGGTACCTCTGGAGTCAGGCTTTGCAAGGTAAGTAAAATACTAGCATTTCTCATAGTTTTAAGATGTCAGTTTTGAATCAGTTAACTTGTAATTCCTTTAACATTCCACAAATTAAGTTGATTCTCAGTTCCTGTATGACATAACCCACTAAAAAATGTGTATTTCCAGGAAGAGGAGTGTAGTCTTTTTCTCTTCAAGAGACACTAAAAATACATACCAGTTCAGTCTAAAAAACTATGATTCCAAGTTTTTATGTCACCATGTGTATATAAATCGACGCATTACTATATTAAATGGGTATTTCCTTTAAATAGAAAAATACAAAAGAGTGGGGAAATTTTAAAATGCAGTACCCTGTAGGAACATACCCTTTATTATTACCATTAAATTCCAACCGTCACTCTTTCCAATAAAGTCTGATTTTTGTTTTAGAATCCTTCTCAGCTGCTAACATGTTTTACTTATGTCACTATAGGAAATATAAAGCATGCAGTATAAACTAGATACTGAAAAATTGTGTATTTATGACTGCCTTTCTCCTTTTCCTCTATGAAATAATTTGTCTACATTTTCCTGTTTGAACATATCAACTTTCAGCAAGAATGGAATGTTAATTGATGTTACGCACAAGCTCAAATTTAATAAGCAAAAAAAAAAAAAAAAAATCAAACACAAACCAACTGGGTTTCCTGTTTTTATTTATGGTTATTAGTGCCCATTTGGGGGGATTAAAATAAAAGCGTCCATCTCAGTTACAGCTTATCCTTCCTTCAATTAACGTACCCAAGGAGACAAGTTCCTTCCATCTACTCCCCTGATGACTCTCTGGATCACAAAGCCTATTCAAGCTTCTCCCCAGGGCCCCAAAACAACATGCGCAACAACTTCCTAGGGAAACTCAAAGCCTACCTCACCCTTCCCACTGGGGAAATACACAGACTCAGCCCTTTCTGGTGTGATTACATAAGAATACAAGGGCTTGCTTGACCGTGCTCAAAGCTGAGGCCTATCTTTTAAACATCAACTCGTGCCATTTCTCCTCTAAAGCAATGGTGTATGCTGGGCAAAGAGGAAATGAGTAGGATTTATCTTCTAACAATGGCAACATTTTCCAAGGAATCCTCTGCATCAAAAGTTCTGATGCCCTAGGAAAAGTCTATAATGTTTGGAAAGTAACTGGTCTTACGTGTCTAGGTGGTAGCACCCCTATTTTGACTGGGGGCAGGGGGTGGGGAACACTTTTATAAATTGGATTTTTTCCTAAGGCAAGTTATCTGTCTCAGAGAATTTCTAACTCCTCTCTTGAATTTCTACTTATCAGCTGTAGTATTACTGAAATTTAGGGAAACAATTTTTTGCTGTGCAGAATGACCAAAGATGTTGCCAATCATTACTTAACAACAGGGCCATGCTGTCCCTGATGTGAGAACCACTTTGAGGCTAAAGATGGACAATACGGATTATTTTTTTTTATTTCTTTGAATATACAAAGATATTTTCTTTTTTAAAATTCTTTTTCTTAAGACTTAATTTGCTATATATTATTTATTTAATTTACTGTACGTAAGGCATGAATTTACTGTATGCAAAACAGGTCTTTCAAAGAGAAGGGTATTAATACCTATTTCCAGGCTGCTCTTTTTGTATTTGGGGTGCAGAATTTCACAAAAATCCATCTGAGAAATAATGAACTATATGGAGAAATAGAAGCTAACCAATGTCAATAGCTATTATGGTTTTGCAGCTGAATGGCAAAAAGAAACAGGGTATCATAACTGTTATTTTTTGCCAAAACAGGGCCGTTGGGTTCGCTCTTTCTATTCAGGGTTATATGAGCCTTCACCTGGCATGGCGGTGCTCTACGTTCATGCATCATCCAAGTTCACTGTGAATTTGATTTCTTCTTTACAGCTGGCACCATAGCTTCAGATGAGTGCATTAACAAACCTGTGTAGGCACTCTGTTTCTCAAAACCATGATGCTGCAGACAGGTCAACGTTGCTCGTGCTCTTTCTTCCCTGACCTTGAGCTGTGTGTTCCCTAGGCATTGTACATACAGCTCTGAAAACAGTGGTTATGGCAGAAAGCATTTGGAAACTTGTAACTGATTCCTGTCCAGTGGCTAAGATGCAACAGGCTATTTCTGCAATGGATCCTGTCCACAACAAGCCCAGGCTGGATGTGACTGTAGCTGTAAGCAGAATGCTTTCTGCCTACCCACTGCCATATAAAAATGGGCAAAGACATTCTATCCACCAACTAGTCATGGGCAGTACTAACATTAGAGACATGGAAGAGGGACAGACTGTCATTCAAAATAGGAAAAATAAGTTTAATAAAAGGACAGCACTCTCTCACTCACCACTGAGGTTAGAGCCATCTGGAAACTATAGATGCGGGCAAGGCCGAAGTCAGCGAGTTTTATTTGTCCGCTGCTGGTCACCAGAATGTTCTGTGGTTTTAGATCGCGATGCACTACTCGGTGTGAATGAAGAAAGTCCAGACCTCGGAGAAGCTGAAACATCATATCCTAATAAAATTAAAAAAAGAAAATCAGTAAACACTCAAAACGGAAGTTGAGCATTTGCTATGCTGGACGCCGAATCCTTAGCATTTTGTGGCTGCTTGGCATGCGGCAGGCATTTGACAGGTATTGGCTGAATGAGTGAATTGTCTCCCTTCCTGCCTTTCCACTCCCACACTTTCAAGAACACTGCAAAAAATTTCACTCTCAACCTGTATTTTATTAATGAAAGGACAATTTTAAAATAGTTTTTGATGGAATAGGAAACATTCTGGAAGGATATCTGCCAAACTGGTTTCAGTGGCTCATGCTGGGGAGAGGAAGGAGGAGGTCGTGAGGGGACACTTTTTGCTTCTCTATTGTTTAATGTGCCATTTCAACAATTAAAATCCAGTGAATAATAATATTGTTATTAATGGTGATTATTATTTTATAGCACCTAGTACTAAACACTCACTATATATCAAGCACTATTCTAAGCATTGTCCACTTAGTAAATAATTTAATCCACACCACAACATTTAGGTAAATAATATCATTACACCATTTTACAGGTCAAGAAACTGATACACAGATGTAGGCTACTAATTAGCCCAAAGTCATACTAGCAAGAGAGTGCTGATTAACTGTTTGTTTTTTTTTAAACAGGATCTTGCTCTGTTGCCCAGGCTGGAGTGCAGTGCTGTGATCACGGCTCCCTGCAGACTTGACTTCCTTGGCTCAAGAGATCCTCCTGCCTCAGCCTCCCAAGTAGCTGGGACCACAGGTGCATGCCACCATGCTAGGCTAATGTTTTTAGTTTTTGCAGAGATGCGATCTCACTATGTTGCCCAGGCTGGTCTCAAACTCTTGGGCTCAAGCTATTCTCCTGCCTCAGCCTCCCAAAGTGCTGGGATTACAGGTGTGAGCCACCATGCCCAGTCTTAATCAACTGTTTTAGAATATTAACAGAGTCTTGATTTAAACTAGGGTCTGGAAAACCTCGATTCAAATCTCCAATGTATTCCTTTATCAAATCAATGAACAAATGAATACGTAAAATAAGGCAAGCCATTTAACCTCTCTAAGGCTTAGTTTCCCTGTCTGTAAAATGGGACAGTAACAAAGCCCACTTTATCATAGGATCATTGTAAAGCACTTAGCACCATAGTTAATATTCAGTAAATGGCAGCGCTTATTACTGTTATTATTAACCAGTATGGAGGAGCGGATCATTCAGGATATAAACCAATATCAGATCTTTTTCTAATTTTAGGACCAATACAAATATACACAAGATTTAATACTCAGGGACAGTGTCTGAAGGTAGGAACTAAGACATTGGCCATGATGTCATAATCCTCTGAAATGTGTGGAAATTAAGAGTGACCTACTCCCCTGACCCAAATATTATAAGAATGGTGTATACAAGGGAGGATGGAGCTGTTTTGTTAATACAAGGGTTAGAAAAATGACTGGGTACCACCATGGATTTCAGAGCTGGAAGGGGCTGTGAGGATACACTTATCATTGGCCGGACCACTGAATCCTCTCATCGAGAACAGTATATTTGGTTACTGGTTTATGGTTTTGGTTCTTCCTTTAGAGTTCGGAGTTCTGTCTTTATATTTTAGCTTGTTCAAAACCAAAGCCTTAGTTTTTCCTTTTATAAAGTGGAGAAAGTAGCGATTACTTTTCCTACTATTAAGGGGGCTAAATGAAGTAATGTATGCCAAGTGCTTGTACAGTTTCTGGCATATGGTAAGCACTTGACAAACAGTAATTATTAGGATGATTATTGCCAAGATAAGTGTCCTGATTTCTGGGGGAGACTGATTCACAAACAACTAAAAGAAAACATGACCACTGCTACAAGGTCGGTGTGAACAAAGCACTTAGAGGGGGTATGCAGTGATCTAGAATCATTTCTGAGATCCCCCTGAGTGAATATTCTGAACTGGCAGGGGTGACCTTCTAAGCTTCCCAAAACCCTGGAGAAGACTGCATTGGGGAGGAAAAGCCCTTCAAGACTTGAGAAGCACTGCAGGTCCAATAAGTTGTAATGAATAAACAGGAGTGTGAAAATGTAGCACAAAATGTTCAAGGAACATTTTGGCAAATAAGTCTTTATTGGAAACACATGCACACAACTTGTAAGCACTGAATTTTAAAAAGCATGACTAACCTAAAGTAATGTCCTGTTGGCTCATCATCTTTAGCCTCTATACAGTTAAGTGTCACTCATTTAAAACAGTATAAAGAATAAATCTGTTTGGTTCATGCTGCAGTGTTCAAACAACTTTAGCAGCCAATTAGCAGTATACAAATTTAAAAACATGCACATCGTTTTTATTTGTGTTATAACACACACTATGTTTTTCTTAATTATAAAATTGCTAAGATGTATAGATGCATGCTTAATGCAGAAACTAATAAAATGTTTTAAGAATCCAGAGAAGAAGAAAAATCACTAAAAAATTCCACTACTTGGAGAACAGAGAAAACTTCACTGTTAATATAACTTTTTTTGTGTCTTTTTAGTCTGTCTTTTAAAAATTACGTATTTTATTATATTTGGATGTATAAGTATATTTAAGTAAAAGTGGTTATTATTCTGTACACATTATTTTGTAGCTCTTTTAAAAACATGTAACAATTCATTATCAACATTTTGCCACTAATAAAATTCTGCAATATGACTTTTTTTATACAATGAGATTTTTAATGGCTGCATGGTTTTTCACCCTGGGACATGCCATAATTATTATTATTCAGTTTTAGTTGTGTTACTTTGGCACTTATACTACAGGTCTAGTTCTTGTTTGTTTAAAGGTAGAGTAGATTAAAAGGGCTTGTTAATATCATACCAAAGCATGGGTTAGGCAGTATGAATCCACATGACTGCACTAACGTTGATTCCATGTGTATGATGCCTATAGATGTAAGTTGGTTCTACATAAGAATGACCATTCTTTAGATTTTATTAGGCTACTTAAATTTTTTTTTTGTTTAGCAAATGGCTTTTCTTTTAAATCTCCAATATCTAGACACAATTGGAATTCTGAACCAATGAACACTGAGTTAACGACTTAAAAAACAAAATCTTGCCCAACATCTCATGACCTTCAGTAATTCAACCACGAGTTAGGTTGTTGGGCATTGTGAACCTGTAATAAGCATGACTGGGGAACCCCTCTCAGTCTTTAGCCAACCTTTATTGCAATACCTAATTTCAAAGGTGAAGTACATTCAGCTACGTCAGGAACTCTGGTCCCAAATAATCATAAGATATAGTCCCAATTCCAGAGGATTATATAAATAAATAAATTACAACATTAAATGAGGTAAGAAAAAAACACCTTTCCTACAGAATCACAAGAAGTGTTTTCATCAAAGACATTTCAAAGGACTCTCTACGTAAGCTTATGATCTGTTCTATCTCAGTTTATAGTATCGTGAGGCATACTCTTAAATTAGCTCAAGATTTTAATCTAAATTATTCTGTACCATATATGACTCAAATATTTCACAGTAACCCTAGTGATGCAATGCAATGAAACTACAGATACCACCAATTAAGGCTCTTTCAGTTAAACGCAGGTTTAAAAGTTTCCCTTTTTATGTTATACGGCACAGTCTGGTATAAAAAGTTTGAACATTTAGTCATACTTATGATAAACAGTCACTTGGGACCCTCACTCTATCTTTTTAAAACATGCGACTCGCAAGCATGTTTCAACAGGACACCATTGTGGAATGAAGTCTGGCTCCGAGAGATCTTAGGTGGGGCTTTATCTTGGCAATGCCCCTAAAAAGACTCTGGACCTTTCTGAATACAAGAAATCCTTGAAGTCTTGTAATTGTTTCTCTTAGGTGTTCCAGAGCTCTAATCCTCTTATTTAAAATCAAGACAAACAAGCAAACTAAAAAACGACTTCAGGCTTTTCTAATGGGAAAAGGTTGATCATGGGGCCTTCTTTTCTTTTTCTTTTCTTTTTAGAGGCAGGGTCTTGCTCTGCCACCCAGGCTGGAGTGCAGTGGTGCCATCATATCATAGCTCACTGCAACCTCTAATTCCTAGGTTCAAACAATACTCCTGAGTAGCTGGGACTACAGGTGTGTGTTACCATGCCTGGCTACTTTTTAAACTTTTTGTAGAGACAGGGTCTTGCTATGTTGCCCAGGCTGGTCTTGAATTCCTGGCCTCGAGCCATGAATCCTTCCGCCTTGGCCTCCCAAAGTGCTGCAATTACAGGTGTGAGCCACTGCACCTGGCCTGGGCCTTATTTTCTCATTACAAGAAAGTATGATTATTTCCAAAAGACACTAAAAACACCCAAGTCATATCATAAGTCACAGAATGACAACTTTAAATAGACAATTCTGGATATAGGGATATATCTTGTGATATATTCACATCCTCAAAGTTTTAGCACCAAAAATGTATAATCCTCAGTTTATTTAAAAATTAAAAACAGGACATATCCAACTTGTAGGCAAAGATAATCTATTTTTCTCCTTATACTCTGTAAACCTCAGTCTTTTCAAATTTGTTATTCAAGTTTTCACAGAACTCTCTCCATAGTGGTTTGTCTGTTTCCTATGAAGTGTGTTAGAGGAGGCCACAGACTAAAATGTATCACATATAACAAAGGTTTTTTAACACTAAACCAATAAGAACATGTTGAATTAAGGTGAGGGTTACGATTATAGCAACAGAGGGAAAGGTCACCTGAGCCTGCATATAACTTCTCTCGCATGTCTCCCCATGTACCCCTCCCCTCAGTCCTTGACAGCCACCATTCTATTTTCTGTTTCTATGAATCTGACAACTCTACATACCTCATACATGTGGAATCACACTGGATTTGTCTTTTTGTGAGTGGCTCGCCTCAGTTAACATAGTTCCTTTAAGGTTCATTCATGTTGTGGTGTGTATCATAATTTCCTTCCTCTTTAAGGTTAAATAATATTCCATTGTATGTATATATGACATTTTGTTTATCTGGTGATCCATAGATGGGCACCTCAGTAGTTTCCACTTTTTGGCTGCTGTGAATATTGCTGCTATGAACACAGGTGTAGAATGATCTCTTTGTGACTCTGCTTTCAATTTTTTTGGATATATACTCAGAAGTGGAATTGCTGGATCTATTCCCAGAATGTTTTAAAACCATGGTTCTCCCATAAAATGTGGTATATTGTTGCTACCTAAGCAATGAAATAGTGACTAACAGCATCGTGTTAAGGTCCTAAAGCGTTAGCCAAGTGGCTTGATTCACTCCTTGGAGATTCCACCCACTTTTGTCTGCATTCTGGGAGAATCTACACTGCAGGTCCCCACATCAAGCTTGCTGTATGTATACAGCTTCTACTCTATTTCAAAACCTGACAGGGTTCCCGTGTGCTTTCATTGATCAATTTGCAATGAGCAATGAACAATGAGCTTCAAAGGCTGTTTATAAACAGGTCTCCCCTACTTCTCACTGTGGTCCTCAGGAGGACCCAAAGAATGCTTCATCCAAAATCACAAAGAACAAGACAAACAAATTCTGAGAAACCAAGAGGAGGGTTCAAGAGGATTCCTTAAAACTTCCATATCACCTGGAAAGTTGTAATGGGTGAATTCAAAGCAAGCCATTAACTGGCAAGCTAAAAGAGTCACACATGAGCTTTGTTCCACAGCAAAGCATAGTCCAGCAATGCCATAGTACCCGTCTCTTTGCCACTGTGCATGATGAGTCAGGCACACATCACCTCGAGGCCCCTCAGGAGAAACAAAGGCATGGGCCCTAAATGGAAACACTGGCTTCTAATTTTTACTGCTTCTAGGCAACTGGATAAAAGTGTAATAAAGTGGCATTGCATGTAAATTTTAATAATCAAATATGTATTCTGAAATGAGAACAGAACCCACTTTTTATTCATTCCTGGAAGTGATGATAATGCTGAGAAGGTAAAGAATCAGTCTCAACTAACTGGAAATAAAAAAAAAAAAGATAATAAGTCATTTCCACCAAGCCTGAAAATGTTGGTGTTTGAGGAACAATGTAATGACTTAAATGAACAACATGAAAGAATAAATCATTACCTCATCATAATGGCTATTTTTAACCCACTGTGGAAAATCATCAGGAACTGAAACTGCAAATATGCAATGCTAAACATAATTTCTTCAGAGCAGGAGATAAAAATCAGCACTGGGTAAAGAAGTAAGAAAACATGAAGCCCAAGTTCCTAGGTTGTTGGGTAATGACCCAAGTGGCTATCATTCTATACACATTGTTTTGTGAGGCTTTTAAAAACATTTTACAATGTGCTGTGAATATTTCCCCATTTCAACACACACTTTTCTATAATGAAATTTTAGGCCAGGTGTGGTGGCCCACACCTGTAATCCTAGCACTTTGGGTGGCTGAGGTGGGAGGATCACTTGAGACCAGGAGTTTGAGACCAGCCTGGACAACACAGGGAGACCCTGTCTCTACAAAAAACAAAAAATTAGTTGGGCATGGTGGCTCATGCCTGTGGACCCAGCTACTCGGGAGGCCTAGGTGGGAAGATCACTTGAGCCTGGGAGGTTGAGGCTGCAGTGAGCCGTGATTGCACCACTGCACCCCAGCCTGGGCGACAGCTCTCAAAAACAGAAGAAGAAATTTTAATAAGCTTTCTAATGGCTGCAATTGGACAAAATACTTTCTTATCTTTCCACATTCTTCCTCTCAATTCCCTCTTTTGAGAATTTTCCCCTCACTCTGTACTTCCTTCCTCTTCAAATGAGGTAATGCTTAGAGGAGCTGGTTTTCCACAAGAGTAGAACAGATAATTATTTGTGTGATATAGAAGATACTGCTGGTTGTCAGCCATGAAGACCTGGTCCAGGCCAATGAAGGCAATCACATTTCCTTTTGCTAGGAATTGATCCAGGGATGAACATGACACCCAGTCCTGTATGGGCAAATTGGCTAGAGAGTTTCAGGAAGCATTTTCCTCCTTGATAAGAGGTGCACAGTAGAATGCTCTCTGCTGTACTTCCTCATCTCCCATTCCTCACCCACGTCTTATACTGAATGCTACCGAGCTGTAGCAACCATCTTGAAACATCATCTGTACACATAAAAGGCCAGAGTGTAAACAGGGAAAGAGTCTGGGTCTTTGATGACATCAATGAATAGCTGCATCAACTTTAGGGCTGTCTGCCTCCAGCCTTGTAGTTATGTATATAATAATGCCCTTATCTGGATCCACTTTTCATTGAGTGTTCTGTAATTTGCAGCTGAAAATTATTCTAACAAATCTAACTTAATTAAAATTATATTAACTTAAATATGTTATGAACATTATCTTTCATTTATAGCCACCATGATTCACCCCAGGGTGAGGTACAGACCCAATGGGGCCTGTACCAACATTCTTTTCCTGTTGGCAATCATCCCTTTCAGGTGGTTATCCTTTTCTCTTTGAGGTGTGTACCTCCTTCCATTAATGTTTATAATATCGCCTTTGCCATCACTATCATTTACTGTCAACTCTCTATATTCCCCAGGAACCATGGCTCATCCTGTTTACCCCACACTCAACGTCTTCCTGCAGGACTCCAACATCACTAGGATGCCCAGCTAATATTAGCTTCAGAACTTTGACTTCTTTAACCTCATCCCATTTTTGCCATCTACATAATACTCATGCAGATGGTTAGTCTCTGTTTTCTAAATGGAATGCGAATGCATACAATTTTGTAACTGTCTTTTTCACATCATGCTGTATACTGAACTCATTTGCATGTAGATCTATTGGCAATGTAGATCTACAGCTTAATTTTTAATGGTTCTATATTTTTCTATTTTTATTTATATTCTATGATTAGCAAAAGGGTTTAAGCAGTCATTAAATTACCCACCAATTTTAAATGCCACTATTTCTCATGTTCTAAATTACTTGAAGTTATTTTCTGGACTTTTGCTCTTTGTTTCTGGCTCTGTTTAGAGTACCTCTCTCCTTTAATTATTAAATATTTAGAGTAAATTTTAACATCTGCAGGGAAAGTTTTCTCTTTCCACTCTTTATAAAACATTCCTGAATATTTTTTGAAAATAAAAATATGTATTTATTTATTTTTAGAGGCTGGTCTATGTTACCCAGGTTGGCCTCAAATTCCTGGCCTCAAGTTATTTTCCCACCTCAGCCTGCCAAGTAGCTGGGACTACAGGTGTGCACCATCGTGTCTGGCATTCTTGGATATTCTTATATGTTATGATTATGAACTGACTTCAGAATCATTTTATTGAGTGCCCACACCTTCCAAAAATCCTTTTAGTATTTTCAATGATTTTTAAAAATTGATAAATTGATTTGGGGATAACAGATACCTTTACAATATTGAGTCTTTCCTTTTCTTCATTTACTCAAGTCTTGTTCTGGGCTCCTCAGTAAAGTCGTGTCTTTTTAAATACAATTCCTACACCTCTGAGGCTCCCACTATAGCGGGTCTGGTCCGCCTTCTCCTTCCTCACATATACCATTACCTAGCCTTTCCCCACTGATCTCAGTCCTCAAATCCATCTTGTACTCTCTGTCTAGACTGAACCCTTAAAAGTGTAAACCTGATCCTATCAGATAATTCTCCTGCTTCAGCCCCCTCAGCCAAAGCCCACCTAGCTCTCTGGCCCTGCCTCCTGGTACTCTGTGGATTTCTGCCATCTTTACTCATTTACTGCCCCATGGCCCCAACTCCTGGCAGGGTCCTGCTTAAATTGCTCTTCCTCTAGATTTATTGGCCTCCCACCACATTGTACTAATGGGTGTCAATAAATGCTCAATGAGTTTTCATAAAGAAGTGAGGGCCCAAACAAAACTAAAAATGACCATGAAATCTATGAAGGCCATTAGCTTAAAAAGAACTCACTGACTCCTTTTAGGAGGAATGCGATAAAACTCCAGGGGAATCAGAAAGAGCAGGTTTGGATTACGGGATAGGGACAAAAGAGGCATGGCATATAAATCAGTATTCGTACCTTTTAGCCATTAAAACATGTTCATATGTGTTGAGACTTTGGGCTCATTATTTTAGAAATATAAAACTCCCATGACTATAATGAACACTGACACACTGAACAAAAACAATGAAGGATGCTTCCTATCTTACCATCTCTTTCAGAAGCAACTTGCCCAGGGGTCAAGAGACATGGATTTCAGCACATTGTTCCACAGCTTGGGGTAGGACTAGCTTAAGTACCTTATCCTCTCCCATCTCTAAGAGAAGTATTCCACAGATCAAATCACTTTGCCTGAGTCTTCACTTGGATGCAGAATTGGACTATTGGCCAAATCCCCTAATACTACTTTAATTTCATATGATCATATCAGAGTTTCTCAAAGTACAGTCTCTTACTCCAGTGTTACTAAGTTCCGTTCAACTCAGCCACTAGTCAGTTGATTAAGCAAGTTCCACCTTCCTTCTTATCATTTTTGTAATAGTACAGATTTTTTATTTCATTTTTTACTTTTGTCAACTTTTATTTTAGAATCGGGGGTATATGTGCAGGTTTGTTATAAAGGTATATTTCATACCTTTGTATGTCTAAGGGTGTAAATGATTCCATCACCCAGGTAGTGAGCACAGTATCCAATAGGTAGTTTTTCAGCTCTTCCCCGCTCCTCTAGTAGTCCCCAGTGTCTATGAAGTCCCAATTTTTTGGAGCCTCAGGTTTTCACTTATAAAAACCAGAATAAATCCTGCCCTGCCTCTGTCATAGAACTGTGGAGAGAACCTAGACATTTGATTATTTTATATTATAGATTTGATTTGTTTTTTAAACTGCCAAGCGCTATCCAGCTAGATTGCAAATTCCTTGAGGAACAGGAATGCAATGCATCTTTATATTCTCCAAGAATCGAACAAGGCACGTTATACATAGAAATCTTTTGGTTTTACTTGATTGGATGAATCACCCAATAGTCTATAGATATGCATTAAGATGAATTATAGTGACCTTTGCTCTTGGTTTTGTGTACAGGAGTTATAGAACATTCTCACCGATTAAACTGATTCCTGAGTCTTTCTTTAGCAAAAAAGCCATAATCCTGCATTGTGGCTTATTGGTTATTCACTAAGAATTTACTGACTGCTTGCCAAGTGGAGGCATAAAAGTATTAAAAAAGTTTCTTTTGGGTACGTATAAACCTAAGTGAGTCACTTAGACATGAGATGTAAATTTCCATTTTTGAAGGCAGTATGATTTAAAAGAAAGAGCACTGGGTTTTGAGCTAAAAGCTTTGGATCCAAATTTGTACTTGCAAGTTAGATAATCTAAGACAAGTCACTTGCAACTTTCGTGGGCCTTGCTTTTCACATCTATTTTTGAGAAAATGACCCCACAAAAAGATTTAAACAAGATATATTATAGATTATGTAATATATATTTATATATGATTATGTGTATTATGGTTATATATATGACATAGGATATTATGCTTAAGCACTTTATTTATTGTAAAGTTCATACACATAATAAATTGCTACCACTTATTCAAAAGAACTATGAAGTCCCTACTATGTGTAAGGCATTGTGTCAGGTGATGCTACACGGAAGCACCTGAATAGAGTGTCCCAAGGAGCTCTTACTCTAGCAGGGAGAAAAGAATATGTACCTACATACTTCATGTCAGTATGTGCCAAGGACCACAAATGGCACAAGAGCGCTAGGCACTGAGTAAGCACCAAGGAGGGAGCAGCATCTAAGCCAATCTGGGAGGAAGGCTGGTATTAGTTTTGGTGTGGGGAAGCATCTGTCATGGAGGACACTAATAGAGGAGGAGGAAGTGCTTACGTGTTTGTACACCAGCTATAGCTCCAGCAGGCAGGGTCCTAAAGAGGGCACACTGCTAAATGGGACCACACTGCAAAGGGATTTATTGCTGGTGGACACAGGGAGTCTATAGTGTTTTATCTTATATTCAGTGGGTAAGTAGTAAAAATGTGTAAAACCATGGCATGTTATTATTGACATTTTAGCATACATAATGGATGGGAGGTGGTGTAAGGAGGCTATGATACTATTCTGAACATATGATAGAGAAGGTCTAAATTAGAATATTGAAACAAAAAGCAAGGGGAAAAGCAATTCAAGAGACAAATGTGATATATTAATATTTGTTCTCACAGTTCAATTTTAATGGCCCATCTTTGGAGAGCTCCGCTACATTTCCAGGTTGCACACTGTGTGATCTTGGGCCTGTTATTTAATCTTCCCTCCGCTAGCATCTAACCTTCGTTTCTTCATCTGTAAAATGGGGACAACACTTTCTTGTAGGGTGGCTACAAGAACTAAAAATAATGTGTAAACCTCCCAGTTTGGGTAAACAATGTGTAAACCTCCCAGTTTGGGTAATGGGTTCAGCACTGGTGCCACTAAATGAAGATGAGGCTGTGATAATACTATAAGTTCAGATCCACTGAATTTTCCCCAGTTAGTATGTGGATAGCCTTCTATCTTCCCTAACACTCTATTAAGATCAACAAACACAACTTATAATATAATCCTTAAAATATCTGTTGTTTTAATTAAATCAAATGTTATGTGGTCTGTTCTTAATTTTGAAAGTCTAGGTCCTTAGAAATTATCTGTTATTATTCATTGAATGTATTACATGTTTCATTTTGTAAATGACCCAACTTGCTAAAATGGTTTTAAGTTGCTTTTTCCCTATACCTGGACAGATTTTTCTGTAGGCCTCTCTGACTATTGAGATTTCCCGAAACTGTCCTTAGGTGCTTTTTATAGGATAATAACCGGATACTATAAGCATGAAATATACCATTTTACTTAATCAACATATATATTCTGAAGCTACTACCAAAACGGGAAAAACATTACAAATGAACTTTCTTACATAGTTAACTCTGGTTGCTTTCTCAACTTAACAAATAAGAACTAGAATTTGTGACATTATTTCCTTATGTTATCCATTAATGCTGAACTGTGTGCATTCCAATACAGAGAGGGGGAGAGGAGCAAACAAGGACTCTGAAAAGAACACTTAGCTTCATTTGGTCAAAAAATGGTCTTTACAAGGGTTTTTATTATGGGTCATAAAACATGCTTACCACAATGTACCTCCTTGAAAAAGAAAAGAAACCCTTGTAGTGGTGAGAAACTGAAAACAACACACTGAAAGTCCTTGTGCCTCCTTCCCATAAACACATCTGTGCATATTATCTGTTTTGGGTAGAGTTGCACGCACAGCTGCTTATGGGGACTCCATAGAGGTGGGACTTCAACATTTTTTATTTTGTGTTGTTGCAAGGACTGACTTTTTAAACTGAAGTCAGTTATGATAGAGGTAGCCAATGTATCTCCAGTGGAAGGAGGACCATGTACTCCTCACTAACAACTTCTTCAATCTGCTGGAGGAAGAGGATCTGGGTGGTCACAACTAGTCAGGAAAAGCATGGAGGTGCAGAGGAAGGGGGATCTTCAGGCCAAATGGAACTGAAGAGCTACCCACCAAGGCAAAACTGAGAACTGGGTTAACGATCTAATGACTCTTACAAAGAAGAATTTATCCAGCTAATGTTAAAATTGGTATCACAGGCCAGCACAGTGGCTCACGTCTGTAATCCCAGCACTTTGGGAGGCCATGGCAGGCAGATCATCTGAGATCAGGAGTTTGAGACTAGCCTGACCAACATGGTAAAATCCTGTCTCTACTAAAAACACAAAATTAGCTGGGCATGGTGGTGCATGCCTGTAATCCCAGCTACTAGGGAGGCTGAGGCAGGAGACTCGCTTGAACCCTGGAGGTGGAGGTTGCAGTGAGCCAAGACCGGCCACTGCACTCCAGCCTGGGCAACAAGGGCAAAACTCCATCTCCGAAAAAAAAAAAAAAAATTGGTATTACAATAGGAATTGCCCAGGGAAACATGGGCATCCCTATAGATGGGAAACTCTTAGTGTTCAGCATAATAGAGTACAGGTATCCAAGTTTTTGCATTGCAAATACAATTTATGTATTCAGTGCTACTCTGATTTAGGGATACCCCTGTCTAAAATGTCTTGAACTAGTTGTTTTCTTAAACGTGCGCCTCTTGCCTTCAAACTTTTCCTGGCCCACCTAAAACCCCCAGTCAGCTTTTGGTATTATTCTTTTTCCAGGCACCAAAAATTGGCTTCCACTTTTTCTTATACTGGTCCTCTAAGGCCTAATCTCAGAACAATTTGCACATCTCTACAATTAGGACTGCTGAGAGAAAATGTTCATAACAAGTCTGAAGTGGTTGCACATCATGGTCTCTAACTTCATCTGGGCTTTCGGTACTGCCTTCTCTGGGTCTCTAGTAAGCTCCCTTTGCTATTGTCTATAATGGCTACCAAAAACATTCACCATTTGTTTGTGTTTCCATAATTACCTTTGCAATTATACTTCTCAAGACTGTCTTAAATTTTAAATTCTGCCTCCACCCCTCATCTCCCATTCATTTGTGGCTTCAACATTTAGTCACATTCTGAGGCATCCCCAGTCATAAGGCAGCTGGGGCTGCTCTCCCAAGCTCCAGATGTGCAAACTTCTGCATGTGCAAATGTACACATGCTTCCTGCTATGTTTTTTAGAATAGTCCCTGGTAACTGTAATCTCCATCTGTTCCAAAATAATAATACAGTTTCTTTACTCCCACCAAAACCTGTCCTTCCATCTGTATTTCTTATCTGGTATAATGGTACCACCATCCACCCAAATGATCAATTCAGAAATCTGACAGACATTTTAGATTCTTTCTCTCCTCCCAAACACATATCTAACAAGTCACGAAATCATGGTAATTATAGTTCCTACATTACCTTTCAAATAAGCCCTTCTCTCCCATCTCCATGGCCCTTGCCAAGTAGTCAGTATCTCTTGCCTGGATTACTACAATGGTGTTCCGACACAAAGAACTCCTGTCTTTAGATTTTTGCATCTTTAATCTTTTCTCCACTGCACTAAGTGGTATTTATTTATTTATTTTTTTGAGACAGGATCTCACTCTGTTGCCCAGGCTGGATGGAGTGCAGTGGTGAAGCTCACTGCAGCTTCAAACTCCTGGGCACAAGCAATGCTCCTTCCTCAGCCTCCTGAGTAGCTGGGACTATAGGCACATGCCACTATGCTCAGCTAATGTTTTATTTTTATTTTTGTAGAGACAGAGTCTTGCTATGTTGCCCAGGCTGGTCTAAACACCTGGGCTCAAGTAACTCTTCTGTCTTGGCCTCCCACAGCACTGGGATTACAGGTGTGAGCCACCATGCCTAGCCCTAAGTGATATTCCTAAAAGGTAAATCTGAGTCATGCAGAAGTCCCCCACTGTTCACTATAAGACAAAGGTAAAACTTAGATTGTTACCTAAAGCACTTTAACGTCTGCTTCCTAACTATCTCTGGATTAATTTCCAGCTGTTCCTACATCCCTGTTACTATGCTCTGAGGGTAACATGCTCTATTATATCTCTGTTCTGTTGCAATGCTATTTGCTTTTCCTGGAATGCTTGCTCCATTGTCCTATCCCCCGATATACACACATCTTCCAACATACACATCTTGTCTGTCTGGCTCCTTTCAACTTGTCTTTCAAGGCTTACTTTAAGTAACTTTTGGCCACATCCTGGGCAATTCTCCTTACAGGCACAGGTTATGTGCCCGCCTCGTATAATCTCACAATGCTCTGAGCATAGTTCTGGCACAGAACTTATTCCACTTTACTCTAACTGTAATGTCACCCTCCCTAGATTACAGCCTCCTGATGCTAAGAAAGTAACTGGAAATGGGGGTGGGATGAGAAAAATAAAGAAGCATCCTAGGCATTTTACATACATTATTTTTTTCCCAGGTACTCTGCATACATTATTTCATTTATTTTTCTCAGCAACCCCTTGAATAAATTCATATTCATTTACTCATTCTACATTTGTATCATGAGCCAACTTGTGTGGCAGGCTGGAGAACAAGGATGCCTTGTCTCATGGAGCGAACAGTGAAGGCGGGAAACCGAATTTGAGAAGCCAGAAAGGTGCCTAACACACACAAGGCCCATATCATCAGAAACCTAAGCTCCTCCTCACCTCGTGCCCAGGTACACGTGGCCCCTCTGCAACTCCTCAAGTCTCCAGCCTCAGGCACTAAGTATGAAAGGAATGACCCAATGCTGCTTTAAAAATATGCTACAACCTTGTAATTCAACTTCTAGGAATTCAGGCTACAAAACCAACAAGTTTACAATGAGTCAATACAAAGACATTCAGTGCTGTTTTGCTTGAAAGAGTAAAAAAATGAAGACAGCTAAAATATCCACAATTAGAGGAATAGTTAAATAAACGATGATGTGTCTCTCTGTATAATATCAAGCAGCAATTAGAAAGAACATGGGTAATTCTGACATGTAAACTAGATAAATCGACAGAGAAAGGAGTAAGGCTTAGAGTGATATATACAGCTTGATTCTATTCTGACAAAACAAGAGATATATGTACAGGTTTATGTATGTGTGGCTATGTTTGCATTAGGATGGCCAGATAAAACGTAGGACACTAAGGTAAATTTGCATTTCTGATAAACAACAAATACTTTTTTAGTTTAAGTGTGTCCCATGCAATATGTGGGACATATTTAAATAAAAAATCATTTGTTGTTTCTTCGAAATTCAAGTTTAACTGAATGTCCTTATTTTATTTGCTAAATCTGGCAATTTTAGTCTGAATATATATAAAAATGTTTGGAAAGAGATATAGCTACAGTTAAAGATTGCTACCTCTGTCAGGTGTTGAAAATGGTAGGATTATGGGTGATTTTTACTTTTTGGATTCTCCTGAATTTACCAGTTAAAATTATACATATATATTAATGTTTCTTTTAATCAACCCTACTTTTTAAGTTAGTAGCCAGCAGTCTTTAGAAAATAAAAAAATGTAGTAAGTCTCTGGTAAAATTTGTGAAATAAATCCTCTAAGGACCATTAAAAAAATATTCCACAGAAACAGACGGCATAGTACTTCAGAGTTTTCTAAGTAATGGCACATAACTTTCTAAATTATAAACAGCACTGTTTTATGTCCTCAACAGACTATAGCTACTCGAAGATAGTAAGTACAAGTTATTCAGGGTTTTTTGTTTTGTTTTGTTTTTCTTAACTGCCACTTCCTGACAGATTCTAGGGAAGAATAGGTGCTCAATAAGTTTTATGCTTTTAATATTTAAAGCATAAAATTATTGGAAAAGTAAAAGCTAGAAGTGGTGCTGACAGACAATAAAATGAACCATTTTAGAGACAAACAATGATACAAATAAGTACTGGGTTGTTTTTAAGATTTACTCAGTTTGTTTAAAATATTTTAGAATGAAAACTAAATCAATAATGTCCTCTCAGAACAACTTGAACTTTGCTTAGGTTGAGAGTGAAAAGCTTAATCAAAAGTTTAAAGGCAAAATAACCAAGGTAAATACCCTAAGTAAGAAGTTTCTTTTGAAATAGAAATTGTACTTTCTTTCCTTGAATATTTCCAATCTCTGCTTCTGTTCTTCTGTTATGTTTGTCAGAATCAGCACACAGCACCTTTCAAAAATGTTTTCTGAAGGTTTTTATCTGCTAAGGCTGTAAGCAGGCAACTTTTTAGCACAGATTTTGGGGTCATCTCAGAGTGTCAGACATGACACTTGCTGGTTTGCCAAGAGGTATCAGGCTCACCAGTGCTATCTGGTGTTTCTTTAACACTTATATTTGAATGTAGTTTGTTTTTATTTTGTACTTTAACTATATATCTAAGAGGAATACAGTTTTTACACTCATCCCAAAATATACATACACACACAACCTTAGACTCTTCATTCACAAAGTAGTACAATGGTAGGCTAAACAAATTGTTTTTCTTCTTTAAAGTTTGTAAACTCTTTTTTTTCTGAATTTACCAGTTAAAATTTTATATGTATAAAATGTATACATATATATATACACACACACACACACACCCCTTTTGTACTTTTTTGGAAGATAAAATGCATGCTGGAAATTGAAAGTGTTTAATATTTAAAAGCCTAGCTATGAGGCTTCATTATCTGTAACATATTTAGAGTTCGCAGTTAAAAATATTTTACTGGAGACTTAAAATGTACAAGTATGGGATGTTTGTGTTCCATATTATGAATTGCTAAAATAGGCTAAAAGGCAGTAGGGAAACATTTTGTCTCTCTATATTTTTTTAAGTGCTCAGATAGAAGAGAGGTCCAAGTGATAAGACCATTAGTTTGCTGCCCTTTCTCGGTGAAGAGAGAGGGGAAGGATCCCATTCAAATCCCTACATCCTGGGAGATTTTTGCACTGCATGTATCTGCCAAAGGACTTATACTCACAATATATAAAGAACTCCTGCTACTTTGAGTTCGAGACCAGCCTGGCCAACATGGTGAAACCCCATATCTACTAAAAATACAAAAATTAGCTGGGCGTGGTGGCAGGTGCCTGTAATCTCAGCTACTCAAGAGGCTGAGGCAGGAGAATCGCTTGAACCAGGGAGGCAGAGGTTGCCATGAGCCAAGATCATGGCATTGCACTCCAGCCTGGGTGACAAAAGCGAAATTCTGTCTCAAAGAAAAAAATAAATAAATAAAATAAAAATAAATAAAAATAATAATAAAAAAAGAACTCCAGCAACTCAATTAGAAAAAGACACACAAGAGCGAAATTCTGTCTCAAAAAAGAAAGAACTCCATCAACTAAATTAGAAAAAGACACACAATCCAATATTTAAAAATGGGTTAAAGATGTGAACAGGCACTTCACAAAAGGGGAAACCCAAAGTCCAGTAGCTTGTAAAAAGGTTAACCTCATTAATCATCAGTGAATTGAAAATTAAAAGCACAATAAGATATCATTACAATGGTTTAAACTGACTATATCAAGAGTTGACAAAGATGGAGAGCAGTCACATACACTGATGGTGAAACACAAATGGTCTATCCACTTGGGAAACATTTTGGCAGAGAGAGGAACAAAAATTCATCTCACAGACAAGATGCTCAGTAAAAGAAGCTATACACAAAAAGCACATACTTTTTATATGAAATAAGTCAGTGTAGTGATTACATCTGGGGGAGGGAGTTATAGACTGGGGAAGGCATAAGGAAGACTGGAATGTTCTGTATCTTGATCTGGATGGTTACACTAGTAAAACATCATCAAACTGTATGCTTGAGATTAGTGCACCCACTTTATTCTACATCTCTTATTCTGCAACTAAAAAAAAAATTTATTGTCTTTCCAATATTTGTCCAAATCTGGGAAGTTATTCAGTACAGGTATGCTATTCAGGACCTCCCTGGCAGGCTAATCATTAGATGTTTCATGGACTGGCACAGAGACTGTATTAGTCTGTTCTCACACTGCTAATAAAGACGTATCAGAGACTGGGTAACTTACAAAGAGTAAGAGGTTTAATGGACTCACAGCTCCACATGGCTGGGGAGGCCTCACAATCATGGCGGAAGGCAAAGGAGGAGAAAAGTCACATGTTACATGGCAGCAGGGAAGAGATAATGAAAGCCAAGCAAAATGGGCTTCCCCTTATAAAATCATCAGATCTCGTGAGACTTACTCATTACCACTAGAACAGTATGAGGGAAACTGCCCCCATGATTCACTTAACTCCCAACGGGTCTTTCTCACAACACATGGGAATTATAGGAGCTACAATTCAAGGTGAGATTTGGGTGGGGACACAGCCAAACCATAACAGAGACCTCAGTTTTCCTTTGGGATCTGTTGCTGCTTCTTAGTAGTACTTTACCTAATTTCCATTTACATCAGTTTACTCATTGGTAAATGGGAGGATACTATGTTTGTCTCATACACTATTAATCAGGTAATATGCATGTGTGTAACTGCTTTGAAAAGTAAAACTATTATATGAATGTACACATTATTATTTTACAGCATTTGGAAGAATCCAAATTTCTCCAAGTAATGTTAAATATGTAACATTTTTATCACTGCCAACTCCCTGGACAGTTCTCAATTTCTTGAAACACGAAGAGTGGAAAGTTTGTAAGTAAGACAAAAAGTGTATAGTCATCTTCCTTTCACTCTATAGTACACTGCAAGAGACTCAAGGTATAGGCTTTATGGTCCTAACTCTTACCTTTCTCGCTGGGCGACCTTGGGTAATTTTGTGTATTTTATTTTTAATTGACAAATAATAACTATATATATATTCATGAGGTGCAATGTGATGTTTTGATAAATGTATAAATTGTGGAATGATTAAATCAAGCTAATTAACATGTCCATTTTATCGAATCTAAATCTTAATGTACTACTAAAAAAGACAAATGACTGTCAAACTGACATGACACAATTTCTTATCATTCAGAAGTTTTAATTATGCCCATTAAAAGGGCTCTTGCAGACTTCTTCACATTTGGATTTTATCTATCATTCTTGAACATACATTAAAAATTAAATTTGAAATGAAATAATTTGATGAAGGTATTCCAAGAATTTCTTCACATTCAGAGTCCTGCTCTTTCACATCCTTTTCTACTCAGAGTTGTTAGATGTCTGTGTTTTCCACACAATTTTGTCTTCTGTCCCATGAAGGGCACTGATGACAGAGCAGTAGAACTCTACTATGACCTCGAGGATTTTCATGCCTGCCATTGAGTAACTCTGCAAGTTTCAGGCACGTGGGCAGGCAATCACCACTGGATCAGGACTGATGCCTGCGAACAGTGACTTCAAAATGTGTTCTGTTTTCAAAGGCCCATTTGTGAAAAAATGGGCATCTTAGAACTGATCAAATGTGGTACTTCGCTCTTTGAACCTCTTTAATAAAATAATATTTATCTTCACAGGATATGATAAAGATTAAATTAGATAAGGTTGAGGGTAGAGTATTTGAGTTTGAAAATAACTTTCCATGAAAAAATTTTAAATGTAGCCGCTATTTCCAGGAACCTGTGTTGCTGATAAGTCTGCTGCTTTTTCACTTTGGGCCCCAAATCTGCTTCATACTATATTTATCAATCCAGCCATCCAATAAACACTGAATATACAGCAAAAGAATGAAAATTTAACTAAGCACTATTTTTATTTGCTAAATCTGGCAAACTTATCACCTACCCTAATCTTAGTCTCTTCCAAAGAGGTAGTCCCTATTATCAGTTTGTTGTATATTCTTCCAGGTTTGGTTCTGTGAATTATATGAGATATACATGTACTTCAGATAAATGGAACCAACCAGACCGTACCTACAGTCCAAAAAATGGCTTTCCCCCAACTCAACACTGTGCCTTAAAGATAATTTCTTATAGGTCTATGTCATTCTTTTTAATTGTCACATAGTATTCTATACATAGCAGTCTATTCAGCCATCCCTCTACTAATGAACTTAGATTATTTCCATTTTTTCCATTATAATTAATGCTACAGCAAATTTTCTTATTCATGCCTCCTTTTGCCCTTGTACCAGGATTTCTCTGAGAAGTGAGAAGTCTCAGTCGCTGAACATATGTATTTTTAATATTAAAAGATACTTCCAGATTACCTCCAAAATGCTTTAAAGGCAAAGCATCCCTAATCTGAAAATCCAAAATCCAAAATGCTCCAAAATCTAAAACCTCTTGAATGCCAACATGATGTCACAAGTGGAAAATTCCACGTTTAAGTACTTAACACAAACTTTGTTTCATGCACAGAAGTATAAATATTGTATAAAATTACCTTCAGGCTATGTGTATAAAGCATAAATGAAAAATAATTTTGTGTTTAGACTTGGGACCTATCCCAAAGATGTCTCATTATATATACACAAATATTCCAAAATCTGAAAAAATACAAAATCCAAAACACAGTTCTGGTCCTAAGCATTTCAGATAAGAGATACTCAATCTGTTCCAATTTATAATCCCAACAGTTGGTGTACGAGACTATCCATTTCTTAACAGTCTCACCAACACCTGACATTATAAAACTTTTTATTTTTTTTGCTTGCCTCAATATGATGGGGGAAATATTTACTATCATTTTACTTTTCATTTCTCTTATTGTAGTGAGATTTGGGCATTTTTTCATACTTCTTAACCAGTTATTTTTCTATATGCTCACAACTTATTATTTTAATAACCTAAAATCAGTATCAATTTTGCTGGATTGTATTTTGTAGAATCTATCTTTTTCCTATCTTTAAAAAAACACAGAATATTTCTCACTTCTAGTATTGTGGCACCTCTCCTAGATTCCATGACTCCTCAAAGGTTACATGGGGCTCAGAAGTTGCAGCCACAAGTTATTGCAGTGCCCTGAGATATACCTTCCTATTCCAGGCCAAATTCAACAAGACTAAACTATATAATCACCTTCCCCAAACTGATAATTAACTTACCTATTTCTGCTTTTCCTTTACTCCGGACAATGAGTAACCAAGTCCTGTCAAGTCTTCTCAATTTCTCATTTCCTTCCAATTAATCATCATTGCCCCACTCCAGGTACAGGCCCTGATTATTTCATTCCCAAACCAGAGGACCATTCTCTTTGACTGATCTCCTGTTGTAATTTCTCCTAAACGAGCACACTGCTACCAGATTAATCAGCTGAAAACACAACAATGGTATCAGCCACCCACCCAAGAGCTGCCTAATTTGAGTTTGAAACACAGTGCCTCCACAATCAAGTCCACTTCTCTCCTGCTTAACTGGCTTCTTGCACTCATCTCTCCAGATGTACCCAGCCTAATGGTGTCTTTCCCCAAGTGGAAACCAGCAAATCTTGAGCAAGACTTCAAATCTCTGGCTTCTGCTGGCTTGTGTCACTCATGCCTCAGAGTAACAGCTTCAATATTCTAAAAAAATTGCCACTTTCTTTAGGAAGCCAGTCCTTATTTTTCCCTCTTCTGAATTCCTGTGGCTTTTGTCATTTGTAACACACTGTATTCGTCATAAACTGCCTTATGTGGTGGCTATTTCTCTATGTATCTCATTCTCCCTTTCTAGATTTTAAATTATCTACAAGCTGTGTGTCCACATTAACATGCTGCTGCACAAGGACTTACAGAATAAATAAGATATAAAACTAGGTTGTATTTCTTTGCTAGGTAGGCTTTCTTGTTCCCATATAAAGCAGGCCAATAAAAGGTGATGTATTTTAAATACATCAAATATTAGAACATTCTAAAAATTACCATTTCAATTTCATCAGCTACCATCAGGAAAGAATTGAGGGAAAATGCGCAGATGGTAATATACTATATTATTCCCAGGGCTTTTACTTTTTAAGTGTTTCAATACACAATGGAAAATTCTTAAAATTAAATCTCTAAACTTATTGTGTGTTCTAATGGCATACTGCATGTTCTATACTCAGAACTTTTACAGATAACAGGTTACAGAATATGGCTTTCCAGAGAATCTGAAGATTTTCAATAGTATTTCAAGAAGCAACTATTATATCATCAGCAAGAAGGAGCAGGAAATGCAAAAAAGGCATTTTATAGTCAACAAACGCTCAAACCAGAAGGAAGAAAGGCCTTTAGGGACACCAAGTAGATCAAGTCATTTTGGCGGGCCATTAAAGGCTCCATGCAAAATCTAGCTGACATCACTTTAGGCAATTTTGATATGCCAGTATTATTACTGGTCAGACCCTTGGTATAGTTCTATGATCAGTTGAAAAGCACATGGACGTAACTAGAAAATACACAAGAGAAGAATCTCCATCCTTTATATCATAGAATGCTGAACTGTCTACAAAATACTTTCTACATTTTAACTCATTTGACTTGCATATTTTAATCCTTGTTTTATGGATAAGAAAACTAGGGCTCAGAAAAGTCAAGTGACTTGCTCAAGTCACATGGCTAGTAACCAGGTGTCTTGTTGCTAGGGACTCTCTTTCATAACATAGAATAAATAAAATGAAATAAGCAGATGGTGTCTTTTGGCCTTAAGACCTCTCAGTACTACAGTACTTCCTTAAATCTAGTTGAGGCACTGCTTCCTGAGGCCCCATGGAAGGCAAATATATGACTACTCATATCCCACTCCCATTCCCCATCCACACCTATAGAATTAATGAATGTGATTTTGCAACTTAAGATCAAGTGAGCCAGGGGTGGTGGCACATGCCTGAAATCCCAACACGGCTGGGCGCGATGGCTCACACCTGTAATCCCAGCATGTGGGAGGCCGAGGTGGGCATATCACAAGGTCAGGAGTTTGAGACTAGCCTGACCAACATGGTGAAACACCATCTCTACTAAAAATACAAAACTTAGCCAGGCGTGGTGGCGCATGCCTGTAATCCCAGCTACTCGGGGGGCTGAGGCAGGAGAATTGCTTGAACCTGGGAGGCGGAGGTTGTGGTGAGCTGAGATCACACCACTGCACTACAGCCTGGGTAACAGAGGGAGACTCTGCCTAAAAAAAAAAAAAAAAAAAGAAATCCCAGCACTTTGGGAGGCTGAGCCAGGAGAATTGCCTAGGCCCAGGAGTTTGAAATTAGCCTGGGCAACATAGCGAGACCCTGTCTCTACAAAAAAAATTAAAAAGTTAGCTTGGTGTGGTAGTGTGCACCTGTAGTTTCAGCTACTTGGGAGGATTGCTTCAGCCCAGGAGTTCAAGGCTGCAGTGAGCTATGATCTCACCATTGCATTCTAGCCTGAGTAATGGAAATGTCTCTGTCTGACAAAAACAAAAACAAACCAAAAACCAAAACCAAACAAACAAAAGATCAACTGAGAAAAAACAGATGCCAATGTCCAAAACCAAACCTGAAATTCTTCAGGGTATTCATATCAAATTCTCATTCCTATAATCACATGTACATTTTTGATCCTCTGAACCTCTTTTCCACTTATATCTCATAGGGAACTTCTGACTGCTCTGCAGCACTTGGTGGGTGTGTCCTGTAAGTTTTTGAAGGCATTCTGCTGTACTGATTTGTAGCCTTCTTTAGTCCTGTGAGGGTATGCAATAAATGTTTACCAAATTGAATAAAAGCCACATGTTTATTCAACATACACCCTTATTTGACAAATACGCAAGTGATTACCAGGGAAATAGGATAATAACTTTGATAGTGCATAGTGAGCACTACTGAAATGAAATGCAGAGACATAAATGATTACAATTCTTCATGGAGAAAAAATATATACTGTACTTGGAATGAGGCTCTAGTTGAGGAGAATAAAATGTTAAGAATGAAAGTTCTAGTGAAGAGAGCATTACTGATTCTGGGGTAGGTCAGTCAAATGAGGGCAAAGTTCAAACTAACATTGTTTTTAGAGCAATGTACAAGCAAGTATAGTAACACATTCAAACCAGTAATAAGATGTTTTAAATATAGGTCTTTATTCTAGGAAATAATTCTACATGAGTGAGAAAAACACATTTATATGGCTTTTGGAAAGTCCACCGAACTAGAATAATAGGAACTTGGTTACAGTCCTAGCACAGTACTAACTGCATGACTTTGGGCAACTCACCACCCTCTTCGGGACCCACTTCCTTAAACATAAAGTGGGGAGAGGCTGGGCTACATATATTCCAAGGAATTTTCCAACTCTAAAAATGTTATAATTTCACTGATTTGTGTATAAGTGATACCTTCAGGACTCTAAAATGGCCTCCTGAGTAGGTTAAAAATGATTCCTCCAGTTTTGGTTACAATCCTAATTTGTGGATTCCACTTTGATCAACCTTGCCAGCTTCTCAAGATTTCAATTTGGGTTGCCACTACGCCATATTTTGAAAATTACAAGAAAGAGTAAAACGGGAATGGGCTGACTTTACATGATCTATGAGTCACAGTGATAAAACCTTATTGTAACAAGCCATTTCTAAACAAAAGTAACACAAATAAATGAATTTACGTCACAATGTGGAAGGCAAACCTTTTTCAGCATCCTAGTCACCTTTTGAGACCTGATGGAATGACCTGACAGAACAACTGGAATGCTGGTTTTGAAAATGTCTTGTTATAGTCACAGTGTGATCTGAATTGGTTTTTGCAAGCCTTTCTTTGGCTTAATTCAGTTTTCGCAATATAAAAATTTACCTGGCATAAAGGAAGTTTTTAAAAAAAGGATTTAATGATACTTAATGACAGAGTTTTCAACAGCTAATAAGCCATTCATTCCTAGGTTTTGAGGCAGAACATGGATTACCAGCTAAACTACTACACGATTTATTTCCTGTACAGACGTCATATTTGATCATTACAAGAATTGATAATAAAAGTTATGACTTGGGAGGTCTTCGTATTTTTTTACAAAGGAAATAGACACAGATTCTAATATATACAAAACACTAACTAGACAAATTCCTGGAGTGCTTTCTGAATTGCCAAGAGGAACAACGTCATATAAAAATTCCTTCGAAATGCTAAAATTCCATTTCTAGTGGTCTCTCATAATCTTCCTTTGTTCTCAAATAAAGGTGTAAAATATTTTGTCACACAAGAAAAACTGCTAAGAAGTCTTAAGGTGATGATGAATCTCCTACTTTGGATACTAGATTATTGCTGATATTTTAAGAAGAAAAGAAGTGTTCGAGATACATTTTGTCTTGAACTAAGTTGGGCTCTAATTCACAATTGTGTTAAAGTTCATGTATCATGTGTAAAAGTTGTACATCATACCCTCAGATTTTTTTTAAGCAGGATTTTTTCATTGGAGAGAAGATAATTTAACTGGAGACTATCCTAATTCAATGATAACAATACAGCAAAAGTAACCATAAACAGGTAACAATTAACAGAGATCTGTGAGGAAACAGCATAAAAACTGTTATCACATACGCAGTTTTATTAACTTTTTGCAAATAAATTAGGCTGTATCTTTGTAAAGCACACAGTATGTATTCCTCAATGGTTGTAAAGTAAATATGCAGTGATAAGAGTATATTCTCCTTAACTCTGAAAATAATTTTAGGGATGTTAAGCAAACAACAATATATTTTATGAATGGCCAAAATCTAATGAAAAACTTTTATTTCTGAATCCTATCATTTATACCATGTGGTTTAATAATAATACAATTAAATATATGTCTTCATTTCATTTCTGAATTTATTTTATACACTTAAGAGGATTATAATAATTAAAATTATAAAAATAAATTACCTTAATGGCCCAGAGGGCACGGAAATGCTAAAACATTTATGTTAAGTAGGAGTTAACTCATTAAAGAGCACTGACAAAGATATAAAAATTATATTTAATTCTACTATGGTGACTTAGATGAAATGAAAACAGTCTAATGGGTTGTGCAAGAGTCACAAATCTAGCTCCTGGCTCTATACTTGTGTGAACTTGGGCAAATCATTAAGTAGCTATTTATGCCAGCTGCCTCCATCTGTAAAATAAGGACAGTGCTGCTTCCCAACTGCATGAGAATGTCCTAGGCTCAGCTTTGAGAAGTTTCCCTCAGAGTTTAATCTTTAAAAAAAAGCCAAACCCAATCAAGATATAAAGGTATAGGAAATGTTAAATTTCCTTAAACTTGCAGACTAGACAATGTCTTCCAATGGCATTGCAGAGGTTGAACTATTCCACTGTTCATGAAAATAGTCATGTTATTGATTCACTACTAGGCTTGTGTCTACATGAGACAGAACTCTGAGAGTAAACAGGGGATAAGTTCTGGTGAAAAGAATGCAGTGAGTCATTAGGACCACAAGTGAAATGAAATGCTATACCAAATGCTGTTGAAACTTTGGGACCTAAAATGAGAAACTACTTTTTCCCATGAGAACTCAGTAATTATCATTTTAATGCATGTTAGGAAAGATTTTCAAGTTCTTAGATGACATGTTTAAACGTAAGTGTTTTCAATGAAATACGCCATTTTATAAAATACAGTCACTATTAATTAATGCCAAAACTAAGAGAATTTTTATGGAATTACATACAGACATATGACTACCAAAGCAGTTCATCATGATTGATGTTATTATTCTGAATACCACAGGAGTTAGTAATGATTCGGTGCCTTCCCATGAAGTTCAAGCCAATGTTTTTTTTGTCTAATTGGCTCATCATTGTTCACTAAATTGGTATTTTCTCTGCTATTCCTATTTCCAATCCTCTGGTATTCCTCTAGAGTCTACACAATCTTCAGGTAACTGCTTCAACTGAAGCCTGACATTATACGACAGATCCTGAAATTAGGCCAAAGAAACAATTCTGAAATAATAATGCTTTTTAAACATGAAGCAAGCCTAATTTATTTACTTTCTCTATATTTTCATATTTAACCAAAGAAACAACCTACTTTATGGTGATTAAATCTACTTCTGAACATCAAATTGTGACCTTATTAAGTTATTAAATTATATGCTTCACCTGTGAATACTGAAGCATATGATTTAATAACTTAATAAATGTCACAACCTGATGTTCAGAAGTGGATTTAATCTCAAATAGAATTCAATTACTGATGATCCCCTAAAATCAGAGATCAGCAACAAGAGTAGATGAAAAATCATTTACAGTCTACCCATCTGTAAGACCAGAGATCCCATAATTAGTGATTGAGCCCATACTCATGAGGGCTCGCATTTATGTGTACCTTACTGATTTTCCTTTGTGATCTAACATTTGAAAAATTATAAATACCGAATGAGGCAAATTTCTCAGAATCTACACATTATTTTGAGAAATACTTTTATTTCTCAATTTTTAGATATACTTAAAATTGCATAAGAAGATTATCTTATTTATTTATTTATTTTTGAGACGGAGTCTTGCTCTGTCGCCCAGGCTGGAGTGCAGTGGTGCAACCTCGGCTCACTGCAACCTCTGCCTCCTGGGTTCAAGCGATTCTCCTGCCTCAGCCTCCCGAGTAGCTGGGATTACAGGTGCACACCACCACGCCCAGCTAGTAAGAAGACTACCTTTTGAAATTGGCATCTCTTGCTCTAAGAGGGCCAACTAAAACTGGTGCCTCAAGTTTCCTGCCTGACATCATGGCAGAAGTATTGAAGAAAGCCGTTTCTACCTCAGATTTGTGGTTCATTCCTACTCCCTGCTTTCAATGAGGTAGGAGGACCCCTTTGTTGCTGCTAGTATTGGTCATAACTCCTGTGCTGAGTCAGCTCATGGAATGATATAAACAGTTCACCTGGGAATGGAAACCTTGTGTTCCACCTCTGCTTCATTGTGAGATCATAGACAAGTCCCTAACCTCTGATTTCTGTTTTCTAACATATACAATGAGGGTCTCAGACTAGATAATGTCATAGGATGGGAACAGCCCTAACATTCATCACTGACAATCTCTCCAGGCTCTGCTTGGTGATCCTGTCACTTCTTCCACACAGGAAGAGATGAAGTCTCAATAAACACAGTAACACTGTTACTTCCACTCAATTATCCTAATGGTTGCTTCTATCCCTCACTTAAATATTTTAAATGGTGCCAGCATCTTCCTCAGTAACATTCAGGAAGCATCTCAGTAAAATCAGAAGATGATTATTCCCTGCACTGCATTGTCTTTGGTGCAATCATTTAGATGAACATCAGCTCATTTTCCTGTACTCATTAGTATTGATCATTTTCAGAACTCCTGTCATTTTTATGCCCCCAAAGCAAAATGGTCTCTTTTCAGAGGAGAAAGTTCCAGGTCTACATAAATGAACGCAAAACCTGTTGAAGTTAAAACATGGTAAGAAACCATTCTTTTCCCCCATTCTTTCTGTAAACAGTTTTAATGATTAGTTCAATTGAGTAAGTTGGAACAAACATAATTTCACACAGGACCATCTCAGTCACCCATCCCTCTGTGCTGGTAATCAGAATTTCACTAGACAAAGCCACTCCAAAGCACAGTATGTGCTTATAAAGGTTAGTCAGGACTCTATTTGGATAACAGCAGCTTAATTCAATCTTTAAAAAATAAAACAACAGTTTTTGGAAGCCTGTATTTTAGAGTTTCTTTTCTCATCTTGGATTGCCTTTCTCCTCTATAACTGGTTCTCATTTCCCAAAGTCTCTTCTTGTTTGTGCTCCCTAAAAGTCACCATAGCTTGTGGTAAAGAAGGGTTGACAGTCAGCAAGATGGATCTTTCTGGAAATGGAAGCCGTCTGGAGCCCACCAATTTTAACTACTTCAGTTTGAGCTGAGGAGGAGTTTATTGCCGCTCTAGTCCCCTTCCCTGTGGCAGTAAATTACCAACAATTAACAGAGTCCATTTCCTTTCACCCTCTTGGCCCTACCACTCTTCTCTGCTCTCAGCAAAAACATAAAAACGATCCCCCAAAGGACAAAACCTGCCACCAAGGCAGCAGCACTGTGGTAATTTCCCAAGGCATTATGATTGATAATGATCAGCAGAGCGTGGGATAATAGCTCCCCTTAATTTACTGGTCCCTTTGAAGGGTTAAAATATGGCAGATGTTGATAGCCGACACTCCTTGCTAACAGGAAAGACACATTGCTGTGGGGCCCACTTCTAGGCTTTCCTTTCCCCGCAGCTGTCTGTGTAGGGCTAATTGTATCCACTTGTTTAACCTCGGGGAACGTCTGGAGGGGACCCAGTGCCACAAGGGTACCTTTTTTTTTTAACGGTCATTTCCTCTCTGGTGTAACTTGCATGACAGTATGTGACAAGCAGAAATTAATGGGGACACTGCTGTGCCAATTCCTCCTGAATTGCTGACACTGGCTACAGGCTGCCTGTTTGCCACCCAGCCAAGACCTCACATGAAACATGGCGAGGGGCCCACAGCTCTATTCACCAACAAGCCAGCTGGTCAGTGATGAGAGGAGCTGAAACAATGTGGTGCGCACAAACCAGGAAGAAAATGCTTTACAAACCGCTTCAAACCAAGGAGGTGGCATTTGCTGGGAGTTAATATGCTAGTTTATTTTCCTGAGTGGCAAATTGCTGCAGGACTCCAATCTCCAAAGTGCATTAGATATAAAAAGTATTCCTCTTCCAAAGCCTCCTAAGGTATAAGTTGGGGTGCGGATACCATTCAGGCAAAAGGGAACCACATGAGATTTATCTCCAAGGAGTCTTTTCCAACAGTCAGCTTCCAGGAAGGTCTGGGAGCCAACAGGGTATCTCTTGCCTCTAGCTAACTACCACAGAGCTGCCCGGTTTAAAAATTCTATGCATGGGTATCTCTTTCACTCTTTCTTGCACATACAAGTGCACATACAAACACACACACAAAAGAACCTCATGTTCAAGCCCATTAATTGCCCACAACGTTTTGCAAGGTTGGAGAATCTGCCCCAACCTTGGCAAAGTCCACTTTCTCCCTTTAATATAATAAGGGATCAAACTCAGCTGGCGGTCACTTAAAAAGGTGGCTCTGTTATAGATTAGGCCCTGCTGATTTAGGCACAGATGAGTGAATAGAGGCATGTAAAATTGTAAAAAAAAAAAGAAAAAAAGACCCAGCAAAAAACTCACCTAACTATGATCTTGTGTACAACTCAAAAGTCAAGTTTAAGGAGAAAAGGGGGAAAGGTGTAATGGGAAAATTACATTGGTAAGATTTTTACAACAAATTTGGGAAGCCCTAAGGCCATTTCAAAAAGGCACAACAAACAGGCTCCTCAATTTTGTGGCTGGGCATGGCATGTAGTGAAATTTTGCTGCTCTGAAGTAGTGGAGAAGCTCATAAAAACAAGAATCTATTTAATTCACTTTTTCTTCTATTCAAAGTTTTAACCAGTTGATGTGAATCGGCTTTACCCAGTTTCTGGGAAAATAAGGAACCCTCACAGAAGCCAGGGAATTCAGTCAATGAACAATGTAGGTTTAGATCTAGGTTAGACAGGGCTCTCATTTGTTGGAGAATAAAAGAGAAGAGACTGCAATAACTTAAAGAGTTGTATCAGGTTCACTGTTGGTATTAATAGAAGGAAGATGTATGCTTCTACTTCCAGGGGAACTCTTCCAATGCAACATTAGAGTGGTGGGCTCAGGATTGTCATTCTTTGGCCATCCTGTTAAAGGGACAGGCAATCTATCTTTCCAATAACAAATGGGATTAACAAAATTCTCCATTTCAATTGGGCAAGAAGCGCAAGACCAGAGGGGGAAGAAACGGAGTATGCATACCCACCTCCACTGGATAAGGGATCTGGGAATAACTTTGGTGGGGCTTTTCTTTTCTAAATATAATTTGTGAGAGAGCTACTGAATTTAGGAAAGGTTTAAAATGTTTCTAACCCAGAACTGAAACACAGGCCTGGAAAAAAACACAAAGGAAGAAGTCATGGAATTGGAAATGCTAATCTCTTAAACAAATACATTTCCAAAATATACTATATAATGCAACCCGAGCCTTTTAAAAAAGTTCACTGCCAATATAGTCTTTAAGGATCTGTGCTTTCTGATAACAAAGTACTGTAATATTGATTTTTAACTTTTATTTTAGGTTTGGGGGTACATGTGAAGATTTTTTATATAGGTAAACTTGTGTCACAGGAGTCTGTTGTACAGATTATTTCATCACCAAGGTATTAAGCCCAGTACTGAACAGTTATCTTTTCTGCTCCTCTCCCTTCTCCTACCTTCCACCCTCAAGTAGACTCCAGTGTCTGTTGTTCCCTTCTTTGTGTTCATAAGTTCTCATCATTTAGCTCCCACTTACAAGTGAGGACATGCAGTATTTGGTTTTCTGTTCCTTCATCAGTTTGCTAAGGATAATGGCCTCCAGTTCTATCCATGTTCCTGCAAAATACATGATCTTGTTCATTTTTATGGCTGCATAGTATTCCATGGTGTATATGTACCACATTTTCTTTATCCAGTCTGTCACTGATGGGCATTTACGTTGATTCCATGTCTTTGTTATTATGAATAGTGCTGCAATGAACATTCACATGCATGTGTCTTTATGGTAGAATGATTCATTATTCCTCTGGGTATACACCCAGTAAAGGGATTGCTGGGTCGAATGGTAGTTCTGCTTTTAGCTCTTTGAGGAACCGCCACACTGATTTCCACAATGGTTGAACTAATTTACACTCCCACCAACAGTGTATAGTGTTCCCTTTTCTCTACAACCTTGCCAGCATCTGCTATTTTGTGACTTTTTAATAATAGCCATTCTGACTGGTGTGAGATGGTAACTCATTGTGGGTTTGGTCTGCATTTCTCTAATGATCAGTGATATTAAGCTTTTTTTAAATATGCTTGTTGACCACATGTATATCATCTTTTGAGAAGTGTCTGTTCATATCCTTTGCCCACTTTTTAATTTTTTTATCTTGTAAATTTGTTTAATTTCCTTACAGATGCTGGATATTATACCTTTGTCAGATGCACAGTTTGCAAATATTTTCTCCCAATCTGTAGGGTGTTGTCTGTTTACTCTGTGATAGTTTCTTTTGCTGTGCAGAGCTCATAAACTTAATTAGAGCTCACTTGTCAATTTTTGCTTTTGGTGTCTTTGACATGAAATCTTTGCCCATTCCTATGTCAAGGATGGTATTGCCTAGGCTGTCTTCCAGGGTTTTTATAGTTTTGGGTTTTACATGTAAGTCTTTAATCCCTCTTGAGTTGATTTTTGTATATGATGTAAAGAAGGGGTATAGTTTCAATCTTCTGCATATGGCTAGCCAGTTATTCCAGCACCCTTTACTGAATAGAGAATCTTTTCCCCATTGCTTGTTTTTGTCAGGTTTGTGGAAGGGCAGATGGTCATATGTGTGTGGCCTCATTTCTGGGCTCTCTATTCTGTTCCATTGGTCTATGTGTCTGTTTTTGTACCAGTACCGTGCTGCTTTGGTTACTGCAGCCCTGTAGTATCATTTGAAGTTCGGTAGCATGATGCCTCCAGCTTTGTTCTTTTTGCTTAGGATTGCCTTGGCTATTCAGGCTCTGTTTTGATTCCATATGAATTTGAAAATAGTTTTTCTCCTAGTTCTGTGAAGAATGTCTTTGGTAGTTTAATAGGAACAGCATTGATTCTGTAAATTGTCTTGGGCAGTATGTCCATTTTAATGATATCAATTCTTCCTATCCATGAGCATGGGATGTTTTTCCATTTGTTTGTGTCATCTCTGATTTCTTTGAGCAGTGTTTTGTAATTTTCATTGCAGAGATTTTTCACCTCCCTGGTTAGCTGTATTCCTAGGTATTTTGTTCTTTTTGTGGCAATTGTGAATGGGATCTGGCCTTCCTGATTTGGCTCTTGGCTTGTCTGTTGGTGGTGTATAGGAATGCTAACGATTTTGGTACACTGATTTTATACCCCAAAACTTTGCTGAAGCTGTGGTTAAAAAGCTGCATGGCTTGTCAAAGGCTAGCCAACTATCCATGTTCTATTTGTGAGTTAGGGAACTACAAATTGTATTTTAAAAGGCAATCCAGCAAGCAGCTGAATATAACACACACCCAGGCTTCTTAGCCCTTCTTCATGCTTCCTTAGGTCTCTTATCAGAACAAGAAGAATAGAGATCTCTGTTATGGCTTTCCTGTGGCAAGTAAAAGACAAGGCGATGATTTTCCAGTCCATTTCCCCTGGCAACATGCTCATCAATCACCAAAGGCTAGGACTTTGTTATTTTGGCTGGAGGCAAAAAAGCTTAGTGGTTTCTGTCTTAGTGAAATAGGACTCTCCTTTAACCTGTGTTTCAGATTAGCATCAGGGCTTGCTGCCTCCACCTTAAGTGTATCTGCTTTGATGGCATATAGGCTCACAGGACGAGTCTGGAACACACCAATTTTAGCTACTATAGAAATGATTTGGTCTGGGATAAAAGTTATTTTTTTTAAAAAATGTGTGTGGTGGGGCCAGTTTTCTAAATCCAACAGGGGCATTACCAAAACTATGGGTATTTATCTTTCTGCAAGTGATGTGTCCTCAGCAGTTTTCATTTACTGTTATCCATACTGGTCTATTTTCACCTTCATACTTTCAAAAGGCCACAGTAGGATGGAACAACAGACTTTAAGGCAAAAAAAAAAAAAAAAAAAGAAAAAAGAAAGCTTAAAAAAAAACCATACACACAAATTCCCTTTGTTTGGCATCACTTTCCCCTTTTATCCCATTTAATTTGAAAGAAATGTATATTGTCCTTGAGTGGACAGTGGAGTTATATACAAACATGTTGCTGTATGGCCATGCACATACAATGAAGATTGCTGTTAGCACTTCAAGTCTCAAATTAAATATTTTGCTTCAAGAAAAACTGAAAATGGAAAGACATCTAACACTGCTTCATTAAACCAATTCAGCATTCATAATATCTTATCTATTCACGGACAATCTCCCTGTACCTGCTAATCCAGGATTTTAAAAGTATTGAAAGCCTAGAGATTGTTACAGAAATCCCTGTATCAGTAACTGTCATTGTAGTAAAAATAGGCTTGCAACTTTACTGTATTCTGTACACAGACATTAATTTAAAAATTTACTCTCATCAGCAATTGCTTCCATTTACAATCAAGTGAAATTTCTCCATAGCCCAATTATACTATTTAATGGTAAAATGTTTGTAAGACTAAAGGAGATAACAATGGTGTCAATAAATCTCATTAGAAAACTTATCATATCATTTTTCCTAGTCCTTCAATGTTTGCTATTTTATCAATATCATCATCATCAGTAAACATGTACTGAATGTTTTTAATGTATACACACTGATTATTTTACAAAACCTGTCCCTTTGTGTTGCCTAAGAGCAAAGGAAGTGACACTATGTTGTTAATTCTTATGTTGGGCTATAAAGATTCAGATGTGAGAACTTCAACTTTTCTGTAATAGAGGGCATTCCCCAATAAGATGTATGCTAAAACAGCCTTTTGTTGGATTATAAAAATATTGGGTTGAATTATATGAAACTGTCATTTTTGTAGGGCAAAACCAGTCAATTATTGGGAATGTCAAAGGGTTTTAATGTTGTATGGCACTAACCCATTGTAAACAATAAATTATAAGGAACCCATAATACCCTGACAGAGATATATACTGTTAATAATTTCATGCTAGTTTTTTAATATATGTATTTGAAATACATTCCCAAAATGGGATCATATTGTATATATGTATTTCTTTAGGCAATTATTCTTCAACAATATGAGATTTTTTGAAAAATCATCCTATGAGATGTATTCATTTTGCTAGATAAATTTTCATAATGTATTTAATCATCCCCTATGGTACATTTTTTTATTGTTCATTTCTCTAATTATTTGGGAGGTTGAGCATTTCCCATGTCTACCAGCGTTCTGTATATATGTACATCTTTGCAAATTTGTTCATGTTCTTATCCATATCTAAACTGGGTAATCTCCTTTTTCTTAGTGGTTTGTAAGAGCTTTTTATATATTAAGGATATTAAACCTTTGCCATAGTTTTTGCAAATATTTTATCATTTGCTTTTTAGTTTTATTTATAATATTTTCAGTCTAAAATTTTTATAGTCTAATGCATGAATCATTTCCTTTGCGATATTTTCTACTGTTTCGCACTTAGAAAACTCTACTACCAGATCTGAAAAATATTTGTTTACATATTATTATATCATTTAAAAAATTAATAATAGCTCTCTCCTACACACATATCTTTTGAAACTATAAAGTATTTAGACTGTGTACAAAATATAAAACAGGCCACTCGTTTGGTATCCAAAGCTGAAAGTGTTGTCTTCAGCCTCCTAACCAGCACTAAATGTTACTAAATCAGGCCTGTTTCTAGCAAAATTTACAAGCAAACTCAGCTGTCTTCTTTTCTAAGGAAAATTTCCTGCTGTACAAAGGGTTACCTCTGAACAGTATCTCCATTATTTCACTCATGACTCCATTCCTAATTTTCTGTTTTCTGGCAGCTGCTCTCCAACTTACAAATAATGTGTGCCTTTGTTTAGAGTTCCTTAAAAAAACTGTATATTCTAAATGTGGAAGAAAGCTCAATTTATTTTACTTTGAAACCTGAGAAATCAATAACATGAACCATATGTTAATTATAGAACTTGGTGATAAATAAAGTAAGAAGTCCAGTGAAACTGTGGAGAAAGTGATGGTGGAGTTGAAACAAAAAAGAAGTCCTTTCTCTTCATGTGTGATGCTCTCATAAATCTCCCCACTTGGGAGGATACCAAAATGCAACTCTTTTTCTTAATTCACTCTAATGTAATTTGTGTTTTACTTCCTTCCAAGTTCCCAAGTGTTTTTATTAGGATTTTGCAGCAAAGATAAGATGCATATCATGGGCTGTTAGTATAGTGGCAACATTAAGAAAAGATGATGTCAAAGACAAAACTTAACTGATATTTATGTCCTTCTGTGGTGTTTATTTCAATTTACATAGTTTTGTACTAAAGATATAAGTCAACTCATCTTTAGTTTCTGGTTGAAATATTAAAGGACTTGAGGTTTACAAGATCAATTGCTATGATCAGAGTAATAATCATAATGGGGGGGACAAGAATTAGCAATGTAATGTTTCAGGCACTTACACTCAGCATAATCACATGCTTTTTAAAAAAGCACTTTCTTTTTGGTTTATTTATGGTAAATAAATCTCTCCTTCTTTTTTGTGACTCATTCAACCAATTCTCTTCCTGTGATCACCAACCTATTTCTTCCCTATTCTTGAACCCCATCCTCCCGACCCGGAATATATTTTGGTAGAGGAAGGAAGCAGAGGGAAGCAGGGCCCTCACTCATAGCTTTTATACCATCTTAGTCTCAACAAACATTTCAAGTCTTCAGCTATGAGTAATGGTGAATTTCTCAGTTCCAGACTTAAATATTAACATATGATATATTAGTGAAATTAAAATTTTAACAAGTGTTTATTCCATACTAACCGTATTCATAGAACACCTTTTTTTTTTTTTTTGAGATGGAATCTCGCTCTGTCACCCAGGCTGTAGCGCAGTGGCACAATCTCGGCTCACTGCAACCTCTGCCTCCCGGATTCAAGCAATTCTCCTGCCTCGGCCTCCCAAGCAGCTGAGATTACAGGCATGTGCCACCATGCCCAGCTAATTTTTTTTTTGTATTTTTAGTAGAGACGAGGTTTCACCATACTGGCCAAGCTGGTCTTGAACTCTTGACCTTGTGATCCACCCACCTCAATCTCCCAAAGTGCTGGGATTACAGGCGTGAGCCACCGCGCCCGGCCTAGAACATCTTAAATTGAGGATAGCTATTTCCAGATTGATCTAAATCTGATTGCTTAATAGTAAACTTATCTTTTAATGTTGCAGTTCCTAAACATTATTTTATGCCTTGCAGTCCCCAATCTTTGCTACATTTGGTTTAACATTCTAATCTAAAAGTGGTATGACTATACTACAGTAGAATGATAAATATTTTCTTTGGTTTTGGCCAAGAAATAAAAAATTAACAAGTATGGCCAGTGACAACAGTGAACACTGGTAATATAAAAATCAGCAAAACTGCTAGCTTAAATTTGCTAAAGGCCTAGAATGACAATTAGAAGAAAATTAGATTCTGAGTACTCATGGCTTTCAATATATGAGCCTCAGAGTACTAGGTTTAGCCACATTGGTGTCAGCACTAAAAACCTATGACTATGATATATTTAAATTTAATATAGTTTTGGTTCCTTACCAATAAAACAGGAGTAGGAATTCTGACCCATTACACTTGCAAGTCTGGTAATGGTTTACTAATTTAAGACCCTAGAGAACTGTTAAATCATTAGTGTATATGAAACAAATAGCAACTTTCAAAGGTCAAATCATGAATGAGTGATGAACACTTTTTTAAAGGAAAGATTTTTGTGTGGCTTAAAAATTTTTAGTTGGAATTCTCCTATTCCTAAGCATCTCTTTAATTTATATCTCCTATTAATGAGTAAGTATTTTTCAATAGAACATTTTAAGGAATAAAACTTCAGTGCCTTTAAACAAATTTCCTACATATCAATGACGTTAGTAAAGCACCACACCTGACTTCACCTGGGCTTAGATTGCCTAAACCTACTGATTGGCTGGGGTTACCAATGCACAGGCAAGCAAATATTCCAGATGTCTGAGTCATCTCAGAATGTAAGGGAGATGTTTTCCATTTCCCACTTGTGTCATATGACATACTGCGGGGGTTGGGAGTATGTCTTAAGCTGCAGTGTCTGGTGTCACCAGAGGGTACTTATTAGAAACTCCCTCCTGAGACTATGTTTGACAATGAGGAATCAGTTAGGGCAGGATTGTCATTTTAAGTGAGCACCCCAGGTGGTTGATTCACTGACCACACTTGGAGAAACAAAGCATAGTGTTTACAAAGCCTTTATCAACCCTTTATTAGATAGTTACTCATTTTTGCAAAATCTGTTGGGTTTAAAAAAAAAACCTGTTGGGTTTAGTCCATTTTCCAGGCATCCTAATTAATCTAACCATTACATGGTAGTAGCCAAGGTTTATTTGTCTTTTTTTTTTTTTTTGAGGCAAGGTCTTGTGCTCTGTCACCCAGGCTGCTGTGCAGGGGTGTGATCATGGTTCGCTGCAACCTGAATCTCCCAGGCCCAAGCAATCCTCCCACCTCAGTCTCCTGAGCAGCTGGGACTATAGGTATGCACCACAACACCTGGCTAATTTTTGTATTTTTTGTCAAGACAGGGTTTCTCCATGTTTTGCCATATTGTTGAATTCCTGGGCTCAAGTGATGCGTCCTCCTTGGTCTCCTAGAGTGTTGGGATAACAGGTGTGCACCACTGCGCCCAGCCCACTTTGTCATTTCTGACATTCAAGGAATTCTCTTTTACTCCCTAAACTCCAAGTGTCACAGTGCCCAGATGCTAAGTCCTTAATTAAATATATGAATCCATATTCAGGCCAACCTCTCCTCCTCACTTGATTTACCGTAAGAATCAATCTTTCAGGACAATTTTGCTTCTAGAGGGTGATGATGAGGAAGAGGAAGAACAGAATGACAGTAACTACAACATTATTCTACATACTGAAGACACCAGATTCTCATAACTGGCACTATGGGGTTTGCAAGGCTTCATTATACAACTTTTTGTGAAACCACATATTCATTCAACAATTACTTACTAGAACCAGTAATTACTTACTTAACTGCAATGAAACGATTGTTTAATTTTTTCCACCTTGCTTAGGAATGAGGAATAAGATACTATCTCAGATAACTGATGGATACCTACTTTGTATGCCTTTCACTGATTTAAAATTTTGTAATGACAATATTGCAAATTGTTGGCAATTGCTCTAGTAGAATGGTCCTTTTTTTCAACTTAATATATATGGGCATCTGAAATTTCTGGGTAAGAATGATAAAATCCAAATGAATAAATATAGTATAGTACTTCAAAGATTTAAAAAAATAACTTATTCCTTTGAAGCTTCTAGTTCTCGTGATGGGAATGGGGAAGACAGCATACAATTGGGATATAGGGAAAGTAATTTTAAAATGAAAAACATGTATCACTACAAAATTATTTTTTAGATATATACTCCTGAGATACGAGAATAGGGTCTAAAATTCATGACATCCATCCGTCTCTTCACTGAGCTTAGTTCTCCATCCTTGGTATAAAACATATTTAAGCGTCCCACCCCGGGGAAGAACAATTTCTGGAATTCAGTTAGTATTTTTGGAATTAGTACTATTTTAAGGAGAATATATCTTATAGTTTTGGTAGGATCAGTTATTGGTTTTAGACTATTTCTAAACCAAGCTATATTCTTAGCTACAACACAGATAATCCCAGAATCCCGGCCCACCACAGAGAACTGAATGCGCAAGTGCAAAGTGAATGTGCCAAGATACAACATACCTTCAGCTTATTTTTCTGTAATATAAATATTTAAAAATTTTATCCTTGAAAAAGTACCATTTCCTGGCTTGTACAATGGTGGTATTGATGCATACATTTCTGAGTTAATTAGAAGATAAACACCTAGTACAGTTACAAACACATGTTTACTGAGGATCCCCTATGTTCCAGGCAGTATGCTGGCCCTGGAGCTAGTGCAATGGACTAGAGTCTTGACTTAAAGTCTCATCTAGTTGGGAAAGATTAAAAAACAAACATAAAAAATAAATGAGATAATTTCAGCTAAGTGCTATGAAGAAGAAGATAAAATAGGATAATGTGGTGTAATGTGATAAACTATAACTAGATGTGGAGTTGTAGCTGAGAGGGTCAGAGAAGGAATGATGAAGACATGACATGAGCTAGAGGGTGTGGAGCATTCCAAACAGATGAAAAATCAGCACGGACAAATGCCGAGCTAGAAGCAAGCTGGAGGAACAGAAAGAAGGCCACTGTGGCTGGAGAACCGTGGGCCCAAGGAAGAGTGGAGGCAGATCAGAAAGGCAGGGGGTGGGGAGCACTAGATCATGTAGGACTTCTGATTTTATTCTACAGGTCATGAGAAACCACTGGAGCTAAGTTTTCAGTAGGGAAGTTAGATAATTTTATTTCTGCTTTAATAAGGTCCCTCTGGTTGTTATACAGAGGATGGTCCATAAAGGGGCAGGAGCAGAAGTGGTGTGTTGAGTTAGGAAGCTGGTTGATGGGTTAAACTAGAACTATAGCAATGAAGATATTGAGAAGTAGTCAGATTGGGGATATCTTTTGGGGATAACACCAAAAGCACTTACTGATGGATTGGATGAAGACTGTGAAGGAAAGCAAAAAATCAAGAATTATGCCTAAACTTGGGGCTCAAACAACTGGCAGATAGGGAAGGCTTGAGTTTGGCAGAGGATTCTCGGTCAATGTTTTACATGGTTAGCTGACTATCTGTACCAAGAGCATGTGGGAGACGTCAGGCTGGAGAATAGGTATTTGAAGATTCTGGACTAAATGACATCACTTGATTAGAAAGTGTAGCCAAGGAAAAGAAGAAGGCTGACAGTGAAGCCTTGGATGTTCCCATGTTTAGAGGAAGAAGAGCCAAAAAAAGAGACTGCAACCAAGGAGTTTAGCACAGGCTAAATTTAGATGAGAAATAGCCTTCCTTCTACGCAGAAGAGCACTCTGCTATCTGTTGCCATGGTGATATAAACGGGTATATACTACCTGCAAGTTTTAATGGACTTTGTAAACAGATTCAATGCCTAGGGTGAGGAAGCATTTTCTAAAGAGATTCTAACTTATCTGTTATTAGCTGAATCTAAGTGTCATTTGCCTATTTAGTGAGTCATTATTTATTTAGTGAGTCAGTCTTACAGTACCTTTAGAAAGAAACTAGCTTTTCTTAAACCCATATTTCCTATCCCCCTACCACCACTATCAACCCCCTGTACCCCACCAAAGGTTCCCTTGGCTCTGCATAGCTCTGCCCCAGCTTCCTTTTAGTCCCTGGCTTTAGGCTGTCTCCAACCTAAGTCCCAAGATTCTTTCATTTTTAGTTCTGCTGCTCTTTTACATTAATGTAGCTTTTTATAGGATTGGAGATTTTAAAAAACCTACTAAATAGCTGTTATATTTTTTGTTAGGATACATACACATGCATAATTCTGTCCTCTTTCTCTTCTGATATTTTCAGCTACTATAAGGGTTAGGAATTTGCAAAAGGATTTATTTCTGAGAGTCTTCAGAATCTAGACTGCATAAAAATGTTCTCCTTTAAGAAGTTGCTTGAGTTACTGAGTTTTCCCTTGGAATGAAAGATACTTGAAAGCACAATATGTATGTTCCTGATTGGAGCAGAGGGAAACAAATGGAAATTATTAGTAAGATTACACTGAAATCTTACTAATTAGAAAGGTTACACTGAAGATTTTATTTCTCTCTACACTTTAGATCTGGGCTTCTGACTTTAGTAGTATAAACTCCCACAGTTGTTAGAGCTCACTCACTCTACATTTCCCCCTGAATTTGGAATATACTCAGTATTGACTCACTATTCTTCCATCCTTCAAATCATCTCTCCTATTCCACTCAGTGGTCAGCTGCTGGCACTGCTTTGATTTATCCCCCTGTCTACTCTCAGGCTGGCTGCTTAATTTTTGCTTAGCAGTATAGTCTTTAAAAAAAAACCCCAAATTTCAAAACTCTCAGTATGTGTGGGGGCAGAGGGGTGCAGAGTGGGGAGGGGCAGTAAAGTTGTGGTTTCTGTGGAGAAAATATTTCTTTGGAGTCAAAAGACTATATTAAAAGCTCGTCTTCCACAGAATATAGGTCACATTCCTGGTAAAAGTTTGGATGCCTGTTTTTTAAAAAAAACAGAATGTCTCTAAACACCATAGTTAATATACTATAAGTGATATACTTTGAATAAGGCATAATAAGGGTCTACAATGTGCATAAATCAACTAGGTAAAACATTATAATAACCAATACTGTAAAAAGCTACATTAATGGAGAAGGGCAGAAGAACTAAAAATGAAAGAATCTTGGGACTCAGGTTGGAGAGAGCCTAAGGCCAGGGTAAGCTGGGGCAGAGTTCTGGAGAGACAAGGGATGCTGAAGGTGGGAGGCTGATAGCGGTGGTGGGAGTTTGTAGAGGGGTAAACAGTGAAAACAAAGGATATAGAAAACACAGGGTCTTGAGTGCCAAAAAGAAAATAAACTGGGAAACCACGTTCGCAAGTTAAAAGCCTTGAAAGATCTACTATACTGTGAGGAGTGAACTATTTTAAGTCAAATTGCTGTAGGTTAAGGCCCATCTTACAGTAAAAGATGGCATCACTGATCTATGAGGTCTTTTAAACCAGAACTATGTTATTCCAACATTCGACTTTGCTTCTTTAAAGAGACTTTATTGAACAGTCCTCTCAGGTGTCTTTCACAAATGTACTTTCTTTTTAAAATTATTTCCTGTTACTATGAAAAGTAGTTTGCATCAAATACCAGGAGAGATGTGTGTGTGTTTTTAAAAACATGGTCTATTCAATTAGTGCAGCTATGATATTAGATTGAAAAAAATTTCCTTCCAAGATCTTTATCATTATGGTAGAGTATTTGTTCTTTGAATTTCTTGCCTTGTTTTTGGGATCACCTTATTATGCAACATCTGCTCTGAATTTCAAATGTGATAAACAGAGTATGAGTGTCGGTGGCAGATGGCTAATGACCAGCAGCGACAGGGCATTCAAGCCTGCCTTGTTTTCTGGGAAGCGATATTTTCATGTTAATTTGCTCTGTGTCCTGCAAAGATGAGACAAATCACCTGCTCGTAATTCAGGCAAAATGGAGACCACCAGGAGCTGAGAGGGGCCATGGCTTGATTCCTTTAGGAGTGAGAAGAGAAGAAGATCTGAGAGGCTTTCCTCATCTGCAGTACAGGGACCAGTCAGTCACTTTGCATTATGTCAAACTGAGAAAGATGAATCAGCCCTGGGCATCCCATACTGACATCAGAGCCACTGTTTACTGCAAGCAGATATTATTCATGAAAACAGACATTTCCCAGAGGCAAAAAACAGGTGCTATTAACAGTGTGTGTCAGTTTCTGAAGTCTGGGTTTTGTAAAATAAACCTAATAGTGTGTTTTATCTCTTACTAAAAATATTACAACCAATAGAAAACTCTAAGAAACATTCAATTGAAGATAAAATGAAATCTAATTCACAGAGAAAACGACCCACACAGACATGAACCTGGAGCTTTTCTGGCCCTCTCAAGCTCTATAGAATTCATTTATCATAAAGATACATAAATAAAAAAAATTTTATTCCAAGATTGAATCATCAAAAGAGGCCATATGGTCTTGAGCTCAAAGAACCCTGTCCTATTTTAGAGGCTGCTGTTCTTTTGTGTGACCTTTCAGTGCCTCAAACTTGTGAAACTATATTGACAATTGCATCAAACATTTTTTTTTATCAAACATGTTTCATGCACAGAATGTCCACAGAATAATTTTAGGTTTTCAAAGAGTTTATAAAATAGTTGAGAAGCCAGGTCATATCCTAGGAAAGATTAATGTATTATACAGACAAGACTAAATACCAAATGAATGATTTAGTAAAAGAGGGCATTACATTTGGAAAAGCCTGTACAGGAGAATATTTTACATAAGAGTCTCTCTCCATCTGTATCTTGCAGTGTACAGTTCTTATTCTGGGTGGCAGTTACAAATTACTAAGAAAAATGGTGAGCAAATTTCTTTACAGTTCTTTCTGACCCTCTCTCATAGGATGGCAGATGAAAGCATGAAAGAGAAAAATAAAAATCTGAGAGCTGTTTTTTTTTCTCATAAAGCTCCATAAATGGAAGGTGCTATATAAGCATAGATACTCTGAATTTATCACGTACTCTAAAAGAAAAAATAACACAATCATTAAGGTGTCAATTATTGCCTCATAAATCTCAGCATGGAAACCCAGGAAGGCAATATTAAATCTCAAATGAGCCAATAAAAATTTAATAAAGATGGCACTGAACTCCTCCACAAGTAAACAGACCCAAAGATAATATCCTGAATTAGAAAGAGGAAAGCCAGATATGTCAACAATAAGTCTATGAGGGAAAATTAGAATATCTGTTGACTTCACAGGACAGCAGCCAACAGGCTGCTTTATGCAAATGTCATTGTCAACCAAGAATGGATGCACCTAAAGGACATCAAGAAAAGAGGTTAAATAATGTGATGAAAACCCCAAGATGAAGTATGAATGTGATTTCTATGTATGCTTTTTTTTTTTTTTTTTTTTTTTAGAATAAGGTATATTTAATGATGTTGGAAAGAATCACCTATGATTTTATTTTATTCTCATGAACTTCTCAATGAAAATTTTCAGTTCAGGCCTATACTCTTAATGTACTTTATTAAAGTCCCACATGAGCACCGTGCAATAATTAGAGTTTCCCCAATAAGTTTACCCAACTATCAACCTTTATTAGTACTTATGGCTTATGGTGTGGTTTAATGTCTTTTTTATTTTTCGAAAACAAATGGCACTTAAGTGCACTTCAAAAACTGTTAGGTGATATAAGTAAGCTAGAAAAGTAAGATCATCATGGGCTCTTTTCTAACAAACGTGTTGATGAAATGATAAGCAAAATGATGTTACCCCTATGATATCTAGTAAGACACCATGGAGCATCCTAGTTTTATCCAAGTACTGCCCAACTAATGCAATTTATGTCCTGAATGTGCATTAGAATATCCTGAGTTTCAGTGGCCTGTTAACTGGTAAACAGTGCCACAGAAAACACAACACTGGGTAGAGGAAAGTGGGTAGAGGAAAATCCCCTGAGCTTAAATGATCTTAGATGAGGTCTTGTTTTGATTTTCTATTTTATATATATTTCATGTTAAAATATCTGGCCAGGCATGGTAGCTCATGCCTGTAATCCCAGCACTTTGGGAGGCCAAGAGGTGGGCGGATCTCGAGGTCAGTAGTTCGAGACCAGCCTGACTAACATGGTGAAACCCAGTCTCTACTAAAAATACAAAATTAGCCATGCGTGGTGGCCCGTGCCTGTAATCCCAGCTACTCAGGAGGCTGAGGCAGGAGAATCGCTTGAACCTGGGAGGTGGAGGTTGCAGTGAGTTGAGATCGCGCCACTGCACTCCAGCCTGGTGACTCCGTCTCAAAAAAAAAAAATAAATAAAATAAATAAATAAAAATAAAGTATCTTAGATATGTGACTCCGTCTCAAAAAAAAAAAAATAAATAAAAATAAAATATCTTAGACACGTGACTCCGTCTCAAAAAAAAATAAAAATATCTTAGATATGTATAATTATTTAACAACATGATACGTTTTAATCTATGCAAGACAATGTCAATATTAATACCTATGATTTGGATCCTTTGAAAAGTAATTTAAATTTAAGTATTTTAAAAAATAGTTTGGCACAATATAGACTGTGCTTACTTATACATAAGTAGTCTGTTCTTGACTTGAAAATACCCCTAAACTACTTAAATAACCATACAGAATGTGTACCACAGGCTTGTGTTTGCATTTTATCTCTTCTCTTATACTCTAAAGGTCCTTCAGAGCAGGTCCTCTCTTTCTCATGCCTAATTCAATTTTGTGTCCCTGAACTGCCTAGCACAGAACCCTCCCTGCACAGAGTGAATATTCAATAAATATCTGTACGAGTATAGTCAGAGAAGCTCTTATTCCAACAGAGCATTCTATATAAAGAATCAATTTCTGTGTTCCCAATAGGTTGTTCAGAATAACAATATTTGCTTGATCTAGTTATTAAGGCTTCCCATAAATGAGCCTATATAACAACAAAATATTTCTGTTCTCTGGCTGTGTGCTTTAAAATTTCAATTAACCAGAATTCAGATTCTCCTACTTAGCAGCTGTTTATTCTGCATTCCAATTCTTAAAAACAAGTCAATCACAGAAACAAAAGATACGAGTGTTGATTAAAAATAATTTTGTATCAGTTATATATTCAGCCTAAAACTATCCATTTGATGGTTTTATTATGCTTTTAAATGATTATTCAAGTTTTCAACAATGACCTTAAAGCATCACAAACACTCAAATTATTTTTTAAAAAACCTTATATTTAATAAGGAAGGAAAGTAGGTTAGTATAGTTCAGAATTTTTTTTTTAAATTAAGAATGAAGATAAAAGAGTCTTCTAATTAGCTTTTAAGTTAGCAAAAAATGTTTGATTAACCACTAACATGTAAGTTAACTGCCTGAAATATTTCATTTGACTATGGTTTATTTTACTATGAAAACATCAATACAACATTAGCCACAAACCTTCAATAACTAGAGCCCCTTGCCCCCAACTCCACCTCGTATCTGACAATTTGGATCAAGGGGTGCTGATCCTAATGGCTGAAGAAATTTAACAGCCTCCAGGACAATCCCTGTTCAACACGGAATGAAGTGACATTCCCTTTCCTGGAGATAGACAAAAAGCTCAAAAAAAAAAAAAAATTAACTTTTAATGTCACCTTGTTCAAGAGCTTCTGGCAACAATCACCCCCTTCTAGCAAGCCTCCAGCTCCATCCTGGCTCAGCCACTGCCCCCTGTCTTCTCCTCCCCTTTCTTACTTTGGTGACCACCCTTCTGCCTGTTCCTTTTCCTATCCTGCTTGCCCCTCCACCCTCACCCTTGAGATTCCCCCCATTCCAATTCATTTCTACTCCTGCCTGATCAAACCTGAGTCTAGTAAACCACTCTGGCTTATCAACATTTTAACTGCACAGATGCCTTTGCAAATGATTCCACTCAGTAGCCTCCAATATACTAGGATAATTTAATATAATGCTCAAAAGATCTATGTAGGTGGTAATGTAAGATATAAAATATATGGTTGCCTCATCTGTCTGTTTTTTTAAAAAAAAGATACTCCCCAAATAACTTTGAACTTAGAAATGTATCAGAAAATGTCAATGATTTTTTGATAGTCTATGTTTAAAGCCTTTGAAAGTCATTTTAAAAATAATTTTGAAAATACTTACATCTAAAGAAAGCTTGACAATGTGTCTTATTTACTTTGTACCTATGTGTATAAATCATTGTGTAAGACACTGTCAGGACATGAGGATGACTGAATACATGAGATATGTACATTAAAAAATCCCAATTAAAGGCAGAAAACAAGATAAAGAGGTAGAGATATGCAGAACAAGTGTTATAAGGCATGTGAGATTACATCTAGCTATAAGAGTTGATCAAATGGCTTTTGAGACGGCACTTGAAAAATTTAGGTAGATAGCCTGGTGAGAAGGAGCAAAAGAAATGGCATGAGAAGGAAGGCCACCAAGGTGGAAAATCACAGATCATACCAAGAGAATGATGAGCAGTCCAATTTGCCTAGAAAACTGTATAAGAAAAAGGACTATGCCCTGCTCTGCATGCTGAACACAGGGTTTCTGACAAACTCATAAAGGAGAGAACTAAAGCTTCAGGGGTGGAATAGAATGCCAGAGGAAAGAGGGGTGCACAGACAGAAGATGGCCAAGAACAGGTAACTATCAGGCATACCTACATTTGGAGGGCCTTAATGTCCTTGAAACTGCTCAGGAAGAAATGGGACTATTGTTAAGCACCAGATTCTTTAATGAGAGCCAGATGGGAAAAAATACAATATTAATCTAAAACAAAAGGAATAAATCATTCAGTATGTCAAATTCTAAATGTATCAGTCAGTATCTGAGAACGTCATTTAGCTATCACTAAAGACATTTCTTAGTCTGTTGAGAAGATAAACTATTTTTAGCTATTAACTTCTATCTAGAATGATGGTGAATTCTATAACTCATTTCTAAACAACGAATGATAAGGCAGGAGTCTGTTTAAGCTACCTAATTCACACAGACAAAAAGGTTTTCATGAAGACCCGCACATGATGTGTATAAATCTAAAAGATCTACGGGGAAGTTCAGTTAAGCAGAATGCAAATAACAACAAAACTTTATCAGCAGCATTTTCCATTAGACTTAAAGGTAGGAAGAACTTCCAGTCAATATACTGCATCTAGTTTACTGACCTCTAAGGATAGAAAGCATGTCTCAATCATCTTTGAATCCCAGGAGTTTGGCATAGTATCTGGTTACTTAGGCTTCCCTATAAACGTTTTATGAATAAGAAAAATGAAGAAAGAAGGAGGGCCTAACAAGTAATATTTCAGATTCACATAGCATAGGTTGTCCCGGAGTTATTATACAATCATAATATACAATGTGCTCATGAATAATGTTCAAATTATGTCTCTCATAGACAATAAACCATCAGAAGAAGACTGAGCTATACTTACTAAACTATGTTTCCTAAGGTCTAAGACAATCTACAACTAAGTATTTTTAAATAATTTTAATATGCATTAGAACTAAAGGTTTTTTTTTCCACTTAGTTCTAAAATTAATGAACTAGAATACATATGTCTGTACTTTGAACATCTCACTTAGTTGATGAACTGGAATATATCCCAATCTTTGAACATTTTCTTTGATTTTTTTAACTATATACCGAATTCTAAAAGTTGTAATTGTGGCAATTTTCATAAGGAAAGAAAGCCATTGCTTAACAGACTATAATAGTCGACTGCCTGATAAGACATGAAGATGATTCTTGATACCTTTATGGTTTCAGTGGGCACTCCAGGCTCTGGAACTTTATCCAAGTAAGTGGTCAAGTCTTGATCGACATGTTCAAACACTAAAGTTAGTTTGGTTTCTCTGTCTGTTCGTGACACTGTGCACACATCAAACAACCTAGAAGAAAAAACAAAGAGGTTAAGTAGGTGGCAATAAGCAAAGAAGTAACCTGTATGTTTTATACATATCGCTCAATTTGGTCTCATAATAGAAAAAAAAGGCCAGTGTTGATCATTTCTTGTGATCATATGTAAAGATATCAAATGAGATCTGATACTTTAATAACAACATGAAGTTCAGGAGAGGGGCACTCAGAGTGTGCGGTTAAGCATGAGAACATCTATAGTAACAATGAGAAAGCAACGCGCTTGGAGCACAAGAACGCTTGGAGAGTTTCCTTAGTTAGGACCTTAGATAGAACTTGCCAATGGGGATAATTTCAAAAACTTGATGTCTAGGCAAAATATGTTTCTTCTTAGCTCACAGTTTGAGAATTACTAGAGATAGATTGAGCATCCTTTGGAGATGCTGAATGTTGTAATCAAGATTTTCCTGGAATTTAAGGTGTCACAACCATGTCTGTGAAAACAAATATGATGGAATATGGAGAAATTTAGTTTATTTCTAAGACAGCCCTCATCCTGCTGAGTCAAATCATTCCCTGGAAAGGGCATACATTCTTAGTTTTTAAAATTCCAATACCATGTTAATCAACATTGTAAAATTTAAACTTTTTTTTCAGGGGTAGGGGGACCTGCATTGGTAAACTATATTGCCCTTAAATAATAAAGCAACAGATTAACAAATGTTTTGGATGGGTGAATCCAGTTTCTTCCATAAAAATCTTAAAATAAGACAAAATTTAAGTTTTAAAAACTAAGCCTTCAGGAGTCAAAAGAATATTCAAGCCAAAGGACAAAATTTCCTTTCGTTTCAACCACAGTACACTATTTAGCACAACAGATTCTCACCAAATGTTTGAAGAATTAAACTACCCATAAACAAGCTGTAAGTACATTTCTTAACAAGAATGTAATATAAATACTAAGAAAAAGCTAATAAAATACTATTCATATTACTTTAATTTTTAAAAAAAATTGAATAAATGCCTTCTTCAAAGAAACTATAAATGTGCATAGAGTCCAATAACTGATGCACAGGGTTGACTATCAATTATCCTGCTTACATATTACCTCCGTTAATTTTTTTTATTATATTTTAAGTTCTGGGATATATGTGCAGAATGTGCAGGTTTGTTACATAGGTATACACGTGCTATGGTGGTTTGCTGCACCCTTCAACCCATCATCTACATTAGGTATTTCTCCTAATGCTATCCCTCCCCTAACCCCCCCACCCCGACAGGCCCTGGTGTGCGATGTTCCCCTCCCTGTGTCCATGTGTTCTCATTGTTCAACTCCCGCTTATGAGTGAGAACATGAGTGTTTGGTTTTCTGTTCCTGTGTTAGTTTGCTGAGAATGATGGCTTCCAGCTTCATCCATGTCCCTGCAAAGGACATGAACTCATCATTTTTTATGAGTGCATAGTATTCCATGGTGTATATGTGCCACATTTTCTTTATCCAGTCTATCATTGATGGGCATTTGGGTTGATTCCAAGTCTTTGCTATTGTGAACAGTGCTGCAATAAACATATGTGTGCATGTGTCTTTACAGTAGAATGATTTATAATCCTTTGGGTATATACTCAGTAATGGGATCACTGGATCAAATGGTATTTCTGGTTCTAGATCCTTAAGGAATTGCCACACTGTCTTCCACAATGGTTGAACTAATTTACACTCCCACCAACAGTGTAAAAGCATTCCTGTTTCTCCACATCCTCTCCAGCATCTGTTGTTTCCTGACTTTTTAATGATTGCCATTCTAACTGGTGTGAGATGGCATCTCATTGTGGTTTTGATTTGCATTTCTCTAATGAACAGTGATGATGAGCTTTTTTTTCATATGTTTGTTGGCCTCATAAATGTCTTCTTTTGAGAAAATGTCTGTTCATATCCTTTGTCCACTTTTTGATGGGGTTGTTTTTTTCTTGTAAATTTGTTTTAAGTTCCCTGTAGATTCTGGATATTAGCCCTTTGTCAGATGGATAGATTGCAAAAATTTTCTCCCATTCTGTAGGTTGCCCGTTCACTGATGATAGTTTCTTTTGCTGTGCAGAAGCTCTTTAATTTTATTCCATTTGTCAATTTTGGCTTTTGTTGCCGTTGCTTTTGGTGTTTTAGTCATGAAGTCTTTGCCCATGCTTGTGTCCTGAATGGTACTGCCTAAGTTTTTTTCTAGGGTTTTTATGGTTTTAGGTCTTATGTTTAAGTCTTTAATCCAGCTTGAATTACTTTTTGTATAAGGTATAAGGAAGGGGTCCAGTTTCAGTTTTCTGCATATGGCTAGCCAGTTTTCCCAACATCATTTATTAAATAGGGTATCATTTCCCCATTTCTTGTTTTTGTCAGGTTTGTCAAAGATCAGATGGTTGTAGATATGTGTCATTCTTTCTTGTTTTTTTTTCCTTTTTGTGAAGGAGTTTCGCTCTTGTTGCCCAGGCTGGAGTGCAATGGCACATCTTGGCTCACCACAACCTCCGCCTCCCAGGTTCAAGCGATTCTCCTGCCTCAGCCAAGTACTACTCCCAACCCGAGTGGCTGGGATTACAGGCATGGGCCACCACGCCCAGCTAATTTTATATTTTTAGTAGAGACGGGGTTACTCCATGTTGGTCAGACTGGTCTCAAACTCCTGACCTTAGGTGACCTGCCCACCTCGGCCTCCTGAAGTGTTGGGATTACAGGTGTGAGCCACCGTGCCCAGCCATGTGGCATTATTTCTGAGGCCTCTGTTCTGTTCCATTGGTCTATATATTTGTTTTGGTACCAGTACCATGCTGTTTTGGTTACTGTAGCCTTGTAGTATAGTTTAAAGTCAGGTAGCATGATGCCTCCAGCTTTGTTCTTTTTGCTTAGGATTGTCTTGGCTATACAGACTCTTTTTTGGTTCCATATGAAATTTAAAGTAGTTTTTTCTAATTCTGTGAAGAAAGTCAATGGTAGCTGGATGGGGATAGCATTGAATATATAAATTACTTTAGGCAGTATGGCGATTTTCACAATATTGATTCTTTGTGTCCATGAGCATGGAATGTTTTTCCATTTGTTTATGTCCTCTCTTATTTCCTTGAGCACTGGTTTGTGGTTCTCCTTAAAGAGGTCCTTCACATCCCTTTTGGGTTGTATTCCTAGGACCTCTGTTAAACTTTTAATGCCTTGCTGGTTCACCATGTCATCCTTCTGCATTTCTGGGCTTTATGGACCCCACATTTGGACTTCTCTGTGAATCTATACTAAATTTTAAAGGAAACGAAAAAAAAAAACCAAAACCAAAAACAAAAAACACTTAACAAAAAAACCCCACCACTGTAATTAGGTTAAATCTGGCAGGTCAAAAAACAGAACACCAACAACTACACATGCTTCATAGCCAGATCCAAGCTTCTTTTTAATTATGGGCAGTTTGGGGTGAATTATACAACTCCATTAAAATTAACCAGAATCCATTGAAAATTTTTTCCTCACATTTATCTACTTCTAAACATTCTGGTTTTTAAGTTTTAATATCCATTCCTAAACTTAATATTTTCCCCTAATGTTACTTATTCTGGAAAATTATTCCAATAAAGTAAAAACTCTTAACAGATTTATTAAAGATAGTACCATAAATCATATTAAGTCTCACACTCTAAAAATATGATTGCTATCATGCATGGATTTAATATGTGGAAAATTTATCAAAACAGTTCTTTTGCCTTGATAATTCAAGATAACTACAACTATTCACAGGCTTTTTTAAGCCAGCTTATTGCTATTAAATCCACATACTTGGACAACTTCACTCTTTTCTTCCTATTGAAAAAGAAAATGGAGTTCCACAATCCCCAACTTTCTTTATATCTGTTGCTTGTATTTTTGTAATAAAATAAAAGAGCAGTGAACCAAAAATGGCATGTCCCTAAAGTCAAATACAAACACAGAGCTGTTTCATACTATGACCATTTCAGTTGTGTTTCTGAAACATTACTTTAAAAATATTTCCCATTATAATTAATATATTTAGTGAAAAAATTACATTGCTTACCACTACCTGGAATCAATAGTAATTTTAGTAACTCCAGTTCTTACTGCATTTATAGTTTATCATATATATATATATATATATATAAGATATTATAGTAATTTCCAAAAGAGAAAAAATTCTGACGGGGGCATAACTGGAGAATAAAGTGATCCTAAAATACTGCTGAAACAAAAAGTCATCTGCCCCCTGGACCGTTGTCTTAGAAGTTACCTAACAACCCTGGCAGTATGCCCTGTTGCTTCATCTCACTGAAACCGTTTTCAAGCACTCTTTGCATGACACAATTTAAAAATAACATCTAACCCACCCAAGTTGCTTTCCTCAGAGTTATACTGCTCTCTTCAAAATATTAAGACTCACTGATGCCACCTGCAGCAACTGGACTCCAGGCCTCAGTTTCAATGGATGCTCAAGATACGAAAGGTGAGCTCACTGAAGCCACTACTAATTGTCCTAAATGATAAACCTTGGAGAAAAAAGGACTCATTTCAATCGGTAGTTTTTAAAACATGGAATTTTAAAGAGATGTGTAATAGTCCATAGAGCAGAACATTTTCACATAAATTTTAATGTATATACTTGCATATTCTTAAAAAATGGTATTAGGTAGAAGTGACTCCTCCAGGTTCAAGGAAATAATCCTTTTTAATTTTTAAGGTGCCATTATTATTAACTTCATTCAGGAAATGGAGCATATTAGAGACTTCTCAGACATTCACAAAGGGCATCAAGGGACATCAGAGTCCTAAGGGTGCCTGTAGGATACTCTCTTTTTTGGCTCCAGTGCTGGCTAGCCATCCACATCCTACAGACCTAGTACTCCATGGAAGACATCTGGGGAAATATTGCTCTTCCCAAAACTATGAAATTTTGTCTGACTTAAATTATGTCTGATTAATGGTTAGTAAACATTGTACTAAAAATTAACAGTTATATTAGTCACAATGGGTAGGAAATGCATTTTGAATCAATGGTTGTAAACATTAATCTTAGAAATGCTAGACTATAATATTTATGATGCTTTTTTTTGTCTACAATGACTCCCTCTGGAATTGCCCCAAATCAAATAATAGTCACTTTGGTGGGCAATAAAGAGAAAACAGAAACTTTATTTTTATTCTTATTTTTCTTTTAAGATGGAGTCTCACTCTGTTGTCCAGGCTGGAGTGCAGTGGTGCAATCTTGGCTCACTGCAACCTCCTGGGTTCAAGTGATTCTCCTGCCTCAGCCTCCCGAGTAGCTGGGACTACAGGCATGCACCATCATGCCTGGCTAATTTTTGTATTTTTAGTAAGGATGGGTTTCACCATGTTGGCCAGGCTGGCCTCGAACTCCTGACCTCAAGTGATCCACCTGCCTTGGCCTCCCAAAGTGCTGGGATTACAGGCGTGAGCCACTGTGCCCGGCCAGAAACTTTAATATAACAAATGAGTTTCATATACAACAACTGAGCTAAGCATGAATTAAAATCCCTGGTATTTGGCTAGAGGTAAACAATCTGTAATGTATTTATATAAATCAATAAGGAATGGGGCTAGGCTACCTAGAACCCTTACACTTGCAAAACAAAAGAGCCAGACAGGTCTGAACACTTGAATGTAAAAACTGGAAAATAGGCTGGGCGCGGTGGCTCACACCTGTAATCCTAGCACTTTGGGAGCCCGAGGAGGGCGGCTCACGAGGTCAGGAGATCGAGACCAACCTGGCTAACACGGTGAAACCCCATCTCTATTAAAAATACAAAAAAATTAGCCGGGCGTGGTGGCAGGCGCCTGTAGTCCCAGCTACTTGGGAGGCTGAGGCAGGAGAATGGCGTGAACCTGAGAGGCAGAGCTTGCAGTGAGCCGAGACCGTGCCACTGCACTCCATCCAGCCTGGGCAATGAGCGAGACTCCATCTCAAAAAAAAAAAAAAAACAAAAAAACAAAAAACAACAACAACAACAAAAAAAACCAAAAAAACCCCAAAAAACTGGAAAATAGCTACAACTGCATGATTCCTTATATTGACCAATATTTTAAGACTTTCTAAAACCTTTTTTTAAAAATTTTTGCTAATCTGTAACCTGACAAAAATACCATTTCAAGAATTACATGACAGCAGTTCCATAAGAAAAATGTAATCACAATGTATTGAATATGAACAAAATATCTCAGATGACTTTTAAAGGAAAGGAAAATTACCATTAAATATTTATCCATTAGAGCTTAGCATAATGTGATCCAAGTGAATGTTCAAAAAGTCAAAGTGCAAACTGGTTATTGGCATTAACTAAGGCTATGCCTTCAGTTTAGCTGTGCAAAATGCAATCCAAAAAAGGCAGATAGGTCGTTATCATTTCACAATTAAGTTGGCCAAGCCCCTAACTCTCCCACAAAGTAAGTTCTCTTGCTGTCTCTATTGTCCTGACCCGCCAGCTGCAGGGCAGAGAACAAGGCTTGCAGTCCAGCACAGCACTCAGTTTTCCAGCTGTCCTAGTGATGTAATTATCTAATAACAAAATATCTCTCTGAATTAACTCTGCATCCTACCCATTGTAATTCTTAATGACTACTTCCTGTTCATGTTCTCAATTTAACTTGCTCTTCTGGAACTATTGCATAGGCAAGTTGCCTTCATCTAATGGATGGGATTACATCCAATAGGTTTGGGATTTCCAAAGATTACAATTTACAAAGGTCTCCCAAACAACATGCTTTGTAAACACAAGCCCTGCCTTTCTATTGTGGTTACAATAAAAGGGAAATCTGTCTTATTTGCTGTGATTAAACTTTGACCCATTCACAGGAAGTTCTATGAGGATTTTTTTCCGGTCACTTTTTTTTCCCCCATTCTCTTCAATGTTTGGACATCAAATAGTTCAAGAGCTGAGAGATGTCTGGCACAGCTACCTAAGGGCCACAACAAAATTCTGCTTGAACTAGAGCCAGTATTTGGAATCGAGAAGAATTTTTAAAAATATCTAATCTCCTCCTCTTAAGTGCATGAAGCATATTCTGTGACTATGTCTTGTATGCACCAAATTTATGTTCACACATCTCACTAGCCCTACACTACGGATATGGGCCACTGTATTCTCTTTTTTGCTCATTAAATATGGACTCTGTGTGCACTTATTCTCAACCAGCACCAAATGGTATAGCTCCAGGAGTATTTGCCACCAACAATAATGTGCATGCTGCTAGAAGCAAATTGCGATTTCAGCAGCACCCATAAACATTTACCAGCACCTACCATGTGCAGGCACTATACTCAGTTTTAGAGTTTCCAATAGATATGACAGATATTGTTTTTAAAAGCTTTACTATCTAGTTGTGGGAAAGAAGACTTACAAGTAAAAATGCAGGTAATGATGTATGGCTATGTATTAGTACCAAATAAATTCTATAAACACTATGTACAACTTTATATATCACATCAAGTAAATTTATTCTACATCCTATTAAGTAAACCACAGATGGTCTCTGCCTTTCCATCCATTTACCTCTCCTGGAAGCCACACCCTTATTTTCTGTTGAGGAACTACTCCTGTCCTAGAATCTGGCAATCTGGTTTTAACAGCAGGGGCCCACGGATGGCATGTGAACAACCCTGGATTGAGTGATGATGAATGATTCAGAGGTGGACAGGAGCATAATAATCAGTCTCAGAAATTTTGCTAGGACTTCTGGGAGAGTAAAACTCTACACTGGGATTATGAAACTGGCAAAGTCTCAGCCTGCAGCTACTGATGGCTGTCTTTGCCACCATTTTAGTGAACCTACTATGGGATGCAGAAGAGGGCCAGAACAAGGGACAGTGGGCAAGAGATTCCGGAAGACATTATTTCCACACCTGGGCCCAGTGTGTTTGATCTACCCCTGGATTTATTAATTATGTGAGTCACTAAAGTCAGTGTTTTGCTTATCCAGCTTGAGTTGGGTTTTTATTACTTGCAACAAAAAATTGTCCTAAGACATCTATAAATATTTTGAAATGATTAAATGACTTAAAAATGTCAATATCTGGCCTCAAATACGTCTTACAGAGTAGACACAATGAGTGAAGCTCAAGCACAAAAGAAGTAGCAGTGTCCTCAAAGTGACTGTCCCAGTTCTCTGACTTGGCTGGGAATCTATTCACCTTAAATGGCTCCTCCATTCGCATGTCCACTGGGCAAAAGTAGCCGACAGCAGAGAACCAGATCAATCCATCCTTCCCAAGGAGCCAGGCAGCTTCCTCTCAGACCCTACTTGAGGTTCCTGATCTGACCATAGAGACACTGGATGGAGGAAAGCACAGAAGGAAGAAGACAGATGGACAAGTTTATCACAAACAGGAATGTAAAACATAGAGTAGAAAAGAACTCAATGGTAAGAGGAAGCAAGGAGAAAAAAGAACTTAAAAATAATACAAAGATACAGGGTTCAATTAATTTAAAGGTTGAATCCAGTGTGCAAGGTGTGTTCTCCTGAAGCCTTCAATTAAACAACCCCTTTCCCACTAGCTGTTGCTGAAAAGTGGAAAAGGACAGGGATGTCAAACCAACTCTAAAGCACAGAAATCCTTTGTATTTAAACTGTTAAGTTTATGGCTGCTATTATCTGACAAGGGAAGGCAAAATCAACATTGCTTATTTACTAAATCATTTTATTCCTACAGCCTTTAAGAGAGTATTCATAAGAAAGTTTCATTGTTTATCTTCTTTCCAACTTTAGAGTTGCTATTAATCTAGTTTCAGCTTCTATCTATATAGACCTGGCACTGTGGCTCTAGGAGTTAATATCTTCTGAATCTGTTAACCAAAAAATGTTTTACATGTGGAATGGGAATCCCCTAAACTGGGCAAGTTTACAAGATGTGACTCTTGCACTATAGTAAATTTTGAAAATAGAGCAAACAGTAAAACTATGTATATGGAAACACATTCCTACCACACGATCAGCAACAGAACTGATGTACTACTAGCTGGGCCTGAAACAAGCTATTTAGGATGGCTTAATGGGTATATGGGATGCCTATGTACCCCTCTCCTCATTCCAGATCAATTCCTGAACTGGACATTAAATAATAGAATTCAGCTTCTTCCATAGTCCTACATACAGCAAGCACTACAGGCACTTCTACGTCATCAAACACAATTATTCAAACTGCTAATGCATTTTATCTGAATGAAAGGCAGAGAAAAGAGTAAGGCTGTAGCATCACTCTGTTATGCTAACTACATGCTATTATGGGAAAAAAAAAAGCTTTAGAGCTGCCACAAAGAAGGCATATCATAAAATGCGATTTGTTGTCTTGCAGGGAAGAGAATGGTAGCAGGGGCAAAATCCTACTTGGAATTAAGTGAACTCCAAGTCACTAACCATGTGGATCATTATCTCCCCAAAGACAAGAGAAAGATAACAGCTAAACAATAGCTGTTTTCTGTAGGCAGCTAAACAATAATCAGTTGATAATTTTGGTGAGTCCAGTTCCAATACAAAATAGATTTGGAAGTTCAAAGAGAACACAGCCAACTCTACAAAAAGAAGCGACCTGCCAATGGAGAAAATTAGGAACTATTAGGTCTAGATTAGTATAAAGAACAATTCACCAACCTCAGCTATAGATCAGGAACAGGGCACTGTTTACCTCTTGAGGTCTCCACCTAGACATGATGAACTTTTAGTCTTTCCTTAACAGTTACCTTCAATCAGCCACTCCAAAAACATAAATATGATGGACAAAATAAGGGCCTAACAAGAGTGAATGGACTGAGAGACCCCAAAACCTGTGGCTTTTGGTGAGAGGATGGGGTGAGGGGAACTCAAGTCGCAAGCCCTACTGGCAGGTCAGAGATGACAGAGTAGCAAACTAAAGATAGCCTTAAACTAGTGGTGCCTCTTTGCGTTTTGCTTATTCTTTTCTTTCAATTCTCAGTGGCACCCACAGCCATGTCTGATACATAGGTGTTCAATAAATATTTATTGAATAAATGAAATTTTTCTAAATTATAACTTAGGGAAAAGTCAAAGTAAAATAAAGTAAAAGTGAGGATACTTCAAGATGTCATTAGGAAAGCGTGGCATTCTGAGTAAGCCAGATTTTGTAACTGCTGTTAAACGAAGACTCAAACACTAAAATATTGCATTTACTAGTTAATTAAAAAATCTTAACAACTGTATGAGATGGTACTCATTTTAGAGACGAAGAAATAGACACAAATGTTCACTGAATGATGACGCAGTGAAGGTAAACAAATATTCACTGCGGCATCATTCGTGATAGCCCAAAACTGTAAATAACCCAAATGTCCATCAACTGATGAATGCATAAACAAGGTGTGGTATATCCATACAATGGAATACTATTTAGTAATAGAAAGAAATGAAGAACAAATACATGCTATGACATGGATAAACCTTAAAGGGATTATGCTAAGAGAAAGAAGCCAGTCACAAAAGACTATGTATTCCATTATTTCATTTATATGAAATATTCAGAGCAGGTAGATCTATAGAAATCGAAAGTGGATTTGTGGTTGCCTGGGACAATGAGCAGTGGGAGAGTGTGGAGGAATGGGGACTGATAATGTGTACTGGGTTTCTTCTTGGAGTGATGAAAATTTCCTAAATTTAGATCATGGTGATAGCTGTGCAACTCAGTAAGTATACTGACCTGAAGTCTTACACAGGTGCATTTTATGGTATGTAAATTACATCTCAATAAAGCTGTTTAAAAACAAAAAATGGACAGCAACAGTGGTAGAGAGGTTTAATACTTTGCCTAAAGTACAAAGACAGTAAGTAGTGGAGATGGGCTTTGAAATCAGACTGTCTGGCTCCAGAATCTGATTTTCTAACCACTCTGTTATTCTGCCTCTGAATGCAGCACACCATTTGGAGCTGCAGTGAAGCAGAGGTCAGTGATGGGGAGACTTTGTGACAAATGAGATACCCTGCTGACAGGCATTGTGGGAATGCCAAAGCCAAAATGTTTTTGGTAAATTAAAAGATCCCAATACATACTTTACATGGTGGGCTGAAAAAAAGAAGTTCAGAAAATTCACAGGAAAAATGTTAAAAAGCGAAGACTGCTGATATCCCAAACCCTCTTACATTTTTCCCTTGACTAGTTAGAAAAAAGGCACACTTCAATTCACCCGACAGAGCTTGAAAAAGAGATTCTGATCTCAGAAATAAGTGAGTTAAGTGTATTTTTAAAAGCAAAGCGAACAGCTCTGGCTTAAGTCAGATAGAGTGTGGAACATTCTGGACAACTTTCAACATTTAGTTCTCTGTCCATTTCTGACCTGTGAAAGCCCTGTTCTCCAGCTTTGGGCCTCTCTTGAGGAAAAATGACTAAGCAGCCAAAACTAGGCAGCCGCCTGTAATGAAGACTGTCTGCTGTGTCTTAGAAGAAAGCCAACCAAGCTTTACCTACACTGTAAGCCAAAAACCTTTCATAATCACATCCTTAATAGGTGAGTAAATTCATCCCAGCACTAATTCACTCAGGTACTTATGATTAGGTACTGATCTAATAAAACAATCACTGAAGTTAGTTCCTTTTAAGGAAACTTTTGATCATAAACATAGAAGAAAATGTTAAACCTTAGTAACTTAAAGCAACACAAATGAAAACCTCAGTGAAACACTAAACCTTTCAAACTGGGTTAAAAACAAACTTGTTTAATGACAAAACTGCACAACACTTGTTTATGAAAATGAGCCCACATCACTGTGGGAATACAAACTGATAAAAACCTTTCTGAAGAATAATCTGGCTCTGTGTGTGTGTGTGTGTGTATACATATATATATATATATATATAAATAATCTGGCTCTGTGTGTGTATATATATTGTATATATACACACACATACACATTATATATGATATATAATGTATATGTATATATATATAATGTGGCTCTTAAAATAATGGTACTGATACATCTTTATTGAAAATGGAAAGACATTCACAATATATTATTTTTAAAAATGCAAGTTTCAAAAGAGTGTGTACAGTATGATTCCACATATGTAAACATAATGGTAGAAAGATAAATCAAGATGTGGCTGGGTGCAGTGGCTCACCCCTGTAATCCCAGCACTCTGGGAGGCTGAGGGGGGTGGATCACTTGAGGTCAGGAGTTCGAGATCAGCCTGGCCAACATGGTGAAACACTCTCCACAAAAAATACAAAAATTAGCTGGGTGTGGTGGCGCATGTCTGTAATCTCAGCTACTCAGGAGGCTGAGGCAGGAGAATCACTTGAACCTGGGAGGCGGAGGTTGCCGTGAGCAGAGGTTGTGCCACCACACTCCAACCTGGGCAACAGAGTAAGTGAGACTCCATCACAAAAAAAAAAAAAAAAAAAAAAAATGTAGCCAGTGGCTATTTCTGGGTGATAAGATTTTGGAATGGTTGTTTTCTGCTATTTGCTCATCTAAACTTTCTACTGTGAGAACCTATTAATTTTTAATTAAAAAAATTATTTAAAAAATAAGAATCATAAAAGCCTATTTTTCAATTCAGATTTTTTTCTCCTACCACTCACGTACTTTTCTTCAATCTGTTCCTCTGAATTAATGAGGAAATCCTAATCATCAATCCTGAAATGCAGTTTTAAAAATCAAACATGTAAAAACATAAATTCTTTTGTATTTAGAATTGTTTATGTTTGTCCACTTAGAATATAAATTTTTTGTTTATGTTTTGTTCTCTTAGATTCCTGAAATCTCTACAAATCTTAAAATATTGTTCTAAGAGAAAAAATAATATGTATGCATTACTGCCGCATTAAAGTATGTGCTTTTCAATCCCCTCCCAATATGGAGTGACTCTACAAAAAAGAATATGAGAAAAAATTATTTTTCTGATACTTGGTGAAAAAGGTCAAAGTAACAGACTACCACGAAACAAAAGAGAAACAACGATGGCTCACAAAGTCTTCAGATTACTCTAATGTTTCTTAAATAAACCAAGAAAAAAAATCCTACATGGTAGAATTCAGTACCCTTTGTAACGTAACAAGGTGCAAGCAACCAAAATAAAGCTTGGTCAAAAATAAAGATCCTTATAAAAATTAAAATATAACATCTTATATTTTTAAATTAGATCTATTAGAGCAAAATTTCTGGGAATTATTGTGTTGAGAACTAAGAAAAATGCTAGAAATATATTCTAAGATCACCAATGGCAAACTATATTAAAATATTAGAAAACACACTGCAGTTGGAGAAGCTGGAAAAACTGGTATTTCTACCAACTTCTAAACTTAAGGATCTAAAATTGGGTTGTTTTGTTCAGGTGCAAACACTTATAAAAATTAAATTATGATTTGCTATATTTCTATAAGTCCATTTTATTTTAGAGTTTGATCTTTGTTCTAGAAGTATCTCAGATAATAAGGAAAATGTTTCATGGTGTTAACGGTAATGAAAACTGTGGGAGATAATTTGTAAATGTAACTGCAAGTTTATCTATTTCAAGGCAGACGTTTTCTTTTGCAAAGAACCACAGGAACACCTCATATACTAATAATCTGTTAGTCATCTGGTTGTCCCATGTAAGTGAATATTTTAGATAATTGATTCTTACCCATCTTAATTCCCTAAACTATTTTTTAAAATTAAAGTTTTAGTGGAATTCTTGGTAACATGCATTGAACATTTTCTTGACTTTTTAAGCACAATATTATGTTTAACTGGTAGATGATTCATGGTCATTACTGTTACCATTAAATTATAATCATTTAATTCTGCACCATTATTATGATCACTTATTTGAGTGTTTACTAAGTACATGCAGATGAGACCAAAAGATCCACAATGAGGCACATTGTAATTAAACTATGAAAACCAAAGACAAAGAGAGAATCTTGAAAGCAGCAAGAGAGAAGCAACTCATCACACACAAGGGATCTGCAATAAGATGAACAACTACTTCTCATCAGAAACTATGGAGGGCAGAAGGCAGTGGGATGGCAATTTGGAAGTGCTGGAAGCAGCCAGGCATGGTGGCTCATGCATGTAATCTCAACACTTTGGGAGGCCTAGGCAAGAGGACCACTTGAATCTAGGAGTTTGAGACCTGCCTGGGTAACACAAAGAACCCCCTCATCTCTACAAAAGATTTTTTTTTTTTAAATTAACTGGTCGTGGTGGCACATGCTTGTAGTCCTAGCTACTCAGGAGGCTGAGACAGAAAGATCATTTGAGCCCAGAAGTTTGAGGCTACAGTGAACTATGACTGCACCACTGCACTCTAGCCTGGATGTAAGAGTGACACTCTGTTTCTAATAAATAAATAAAGAAGTGCTGGAAGAAAAAAGAAATCTGTTAACCAAGAATTCTATATCTGGCAGAACCATCCTTCAAAGATGAAGGCAAAATTAAGACATTCTCAGATAAACAAAAGCTGAGGGAGTTTTTTGCCAATAGATCTGCCCTACAGGAAATGCTAAAGGGAGTCCTTCAGGCTGAAATAAAAGAACATTAGACAGTAACATGGAGCCATATGAAGAAACAAAGAACACTGGCAAAGGTAACTAACTACATAGGTAAGTGGTTTGTAACTTTTAAAATATGATTTAAAAAACAAATGCATAGGACAGTAATTATAAGTCTACGTTAATGGCCACACAACGTATGAACATGTAATTTGTGACAATAACAACATGAAGGAGAAAGGACAGAACTGTACAGAAAAAAGTTTTATATACTATTAAAGCTGAAATAGTATCAACTCAAACTGGATTGTTATAAGTTGAAGATGTTAATTGTAATCTCTGGGGTAACCATTAAAAAATTCTTTGTTTTGAAACTGCTCATATCTTGAGGAACATTTTCTTGAATTTACCACTTAAGAGCCCCTACAGTGAGCCTGGGACTGTGGCAGGGATTTAATATATGGAAACTTATTGAATCCTTTCAATATCCTTATAAAGTATATACTATTACTCTCATTTTACAGATGAAGAAGCTAAGATTCATAGAATAATTTGTTCAAGCATCATAGAACAGAGACAAGAGGCAGAACCAAGATTTAAATTAGAAACCTTCACAGGCCTCTCTCCTTCTTGATCTGGACCTTCAATATCAAGATCTCCTGGACCTATTCTCTTCTTCCCCAATGTACCACCACCACTATGACAATCTAATCAGCAACAGATGACAGTTATCTCCTTTATGGTCACAGCTTCAAAGAGTACCTAGAGGTTGGTAAATCTCCAACTTCTCTCTCCAAAATAGTACTTTCTCCAAACTCCATACCCAGTTATCTCTTGGACAACTTCAACCAATACTCTGAACATCTCAATTTCAAAATGTCTAGAACACAGTTCATTCCCCTTGGTGAATCACACCCCCATCCAAATAATTTTCTAAACCCAGAAGCCTTCAAATAATCGTAGATTGTTTCATTTCCCCACATGTTCAATCAACCACCAATTCCACCACCTAAATATTTTTCCATCCACTGCCACTTCCCTGAGCTCAGGCACTCAACACCCTTGGCCAGTTTTCTACAAAGGGCCTTTATCCTGTTTCCCAAATGCCCTGAGACTCTTTGTACTCATCCCCTACTCTGGTCAGTGAGCCTTCCACAGTAAAAATCTGATCGATAGCATTGAACAAATGCATTTAACCAGCAAACGTTTATTAAATATTTGTTATTTTCTAAGCATTAGATTAGATGCTAGGTATAGAAAAATCAAAGGGTAAAATAAAATTTCTTAAGTTATTCAGAGTCTAGTGGGAAAAGTAGACAAAGTATCAACTATTCTGTAAATGCTGAGGTATGTATGTCTGCGGTATACACAGATACACATAAGTGTATACACATATACTTATTCAAATCCGCACACACACATACACATACATCTTTCTGTCTCTTATGTATATACCTATGGAATTTTAAGAAATGATAAAAGAAGCAACCCATCCATATGTGGAGGAAAACTTTGTAGAAGAAATGACAATTTAACTGTCAGAGTATCAAGAGTTACCCAAGCAAGTGGCAAAGAAAGGGCACTTGAAACCAAAGAAAGTGTGAGCAGGAGCACCGCAAGAAGCCCCATTGGAGAGAAACTTTGTATGCTACAAAGAACTTTGTTCCTCTGGAAAGTGGGCAACTATTTTTTATGGTTTTCAAAGAGCCCAATCTGATGACATGGGTAAGGGGAAGTGTGGTAAGACCACCTGTAAGGAGACTGTTGCTGCAGTAGTACAGGGAAAGTAAAGAAGGCCTGTTCTAAGGAATTGGCAGCAAGGATGGAGAGGAGAGTACAGATTCCAGAAATATTTAGGAGGTTGAGTTGGCAGGACTTGCTAAGTGTCTAAATGTGGCGGGGGTGGAGGGATGGGGAAGGAGAAGCCAAGGATGACTCACATGCTTTTGACTTTGGGGACTTGGTGCCACCCTCATGAGATACAGCAGTGTTCCCAGATCTTTGGTTTTCAGAGGCCTGGAAACTTTCCAACAACTTTACAGCTCTGACAGAACATTGCCAACTAAAGACATTAATATACTCTACTATCTACTATCAATATCACTTCATAAATAAAGCATATTTTAATATCCCAAATGTGAATAGATTTAGCTTTCTGAAAAATTTACCACAGGGCCCTATTTTTCTAATTGCATCACAGATGATGGAAAATTGGTACCAGGCCTCAGACCAACACTGCAAAGCCCTGAGGTAGAATATAGGAGAAGTCAGTGCAGCAGTAAGATGATGAGTTGAAGTCAAAGGAATAGACAGGCTTGCCCTGGCTAACTCTCCAGCCCTAGAGGAATGTATATATATTAAGAATTGTAAAAAAGTTCAAATGGTGTTGGAGGCCCTGAAGAAGAGGCATTCAACATACCTCGAGGGGAAGTGGCTGGGGAGCTGAGTCTCATAGGACAGTCTGGAATTTGCCAGATAAACAAAGGAAGTTTGGCATGGTCCTGGCAGAAGGAACAGCATGTCCAAAGGTATGTAGGTACACAGAAAAATTCATATTTGGGGAATTGCGGATAGTCTGGCATGATTTGGTGATTATCTTGGAAAATGGCAAGAGAAGAGCTGGAAAAGTACACAGAAGTGAAATTATGAGAGTTTAGTAATCCAGGCTAAGAAGTCTGGAAATTATCTTATGGGCACTGGGAAAAAAGCAAAGGACTTTTACAATGAACAATGCTATGGTAGGATGTGTCACTTGGAAATACTACTCTGGTTGCAGAATGGAAGTTGGATTATAGGAGAATAAAATTGGAGGTGAGGAAAACAAGTAGGAAGTGTCTGCAAAAGCCCAGGTAAAAAATATAGACAGATTGGTTACAGAAATAGTAGCAGCAGAGAGAGACCAATACAACTAACAAATATTGACTGAGCACATTATACTCTTCAGCTGTCTATCAGGATCATCAGGCAAGATCCCTGCTCTCTTAGAACTTATTTTCTACTGTTGTTAAACAAAGTTGAATCATGTTTTGCAATTAAAAAAGTTTAAGTGTACCAACCACTTTCACAAATCTATCTCCATTTTTAGGTTGCACTAAATTATATTCTATATGTAATTTATTAGACCATTTCCCTGTTCTTGTAACATTGGCTCATTATTATCTTATGATAAATTCCTAGAAGTGGCATTTTAAAAATAAAATGATATACACTTTTTCTGAATCAAAATATATATATTTTTTGAAAGTTCTTGATCCAAACCACCTGACAGAAGATTGTACCAATTTATACTCCCATAGTGATATCTAGGAGGTGGAATCCAGAAGATCTGGTAACCTACCAGAATGTACAAGTTGAAAGAGAAGTTTGAAATGAGTTTCACGTTTTGGTTTAGACAAGGTAGATGATAGTACTATTTCCAAAGGCCATAAGAAGAGATGAAAATAAGATGAGTGAAGTAATTAATGAGCTCAGTCTGGAAAAGATTAATTTGAGATGTCTGTGACATTCAGGTGGTAAAGTCCAATAAACAACTGTAAACATATACTTCTCAGAGCTCCAGACACAAGTCAAGCAATAGTTTGGGAAGTTATCAGCCTCCAGATGAGACGGAATCTTGGAGGCAAAACATAAAACAAGCAGAATAGCATCCCTAGATGAATCAGAGAGGTGAGCAAGAAAATAGATGAAGAAAATGATATCATAAAACATCAAGGGAATTAAAAAAAATTCAATGTATGGCATCATCAAAAGCAACAAAATACGTATAAATTTAACAAGAGTTCTCTGTACAGTGAAAACTACAAAACAATATTGCAAGAAATAAAAGAGCTAAATAAATGGAAGGACATCCGTATTCATGGATCAGGAAGACTTGATATTGTTAAGAGGCAATACTCCCCAAATTGATCTAGAGCTTCAATGCAATCCACATCAAAATCCCAGCTGGCTTTTTAGTAAAAATTGACAAGCTGATCCTAGACTTCATATGATAATGCAAGGAACCCAGAATAGCAAAAAACAATCTTGAAAAAGAAAAACAATGTTCGAAGACTCGCACTTCTCAATTTCAAAACTTACCATGAGCTGTAGTACCTAAGACAGTATGGTACTGGCATAAAGATAAACAAACAGATCAATGAAATATAATTTAGAGTGCAGAAATTAACTTTCATGTTTATGCTAAATGAATTTTCAACAAATGTGCCAAGACCATTCACTCAGGAAAGAATAATCTTTTCAACAAATGATGCTGGGATAACTGGATACCTACATGCAAAAGAATGAAATTGGATCCTAACCTCACAATATACACAGAAATTAACTTAAAATGGATCACAAACCTAAATGTAAGAGCTAAAACTATAAAACTCTTAGAAAAAAACATAGCAGTAAATCTTTGTGACCCTGGGTTAGGCAATATCTTAATTATAACACCAAAAACATAAGCAATATTAGAAAGAACAGATCACTACAGATTCATCAAAATTAAAAATGTTCATTCATTTGTAAGAAATGGCCAGAGTAGGCAAATCTACAGAAACAGAAAGTAGATTAGTGGCTGCCTAAGGCCAGGGGTGTGGGGGTTGGGGAAAAGTGGGGAATGGCTGCTAATGGGTATGGGGTTTCTTTGAGGGAGAATGAAAAGGTTCTAAAATCAGACTGTTTAACAATGGTTGCACAACCCTGTAAATATAGTAAAAACACTGAATCAAGCGCTTTAAATGGGTGAATTGCTTTGCATGTCAAGTATGTCTCAATAGAGCTGTTTAAAAAAATCAAGGCAAGAGTCAGTTTCAAGAAGAAAGAAGTGGTCAATGGTGTATATAAGATAAAGAAGTGTGTTCTGCTCTTTAAAATCCTTCTATTGTCTTTTATCCACTGGACAAAGTAGCAGAAGAAATAGCTAACACTTACTGAGTGCTTACTGTGTGTCAGACACAATGCTAATAATTTTGTTTTATGTATTTAAATCTCTTTACCCTATAATACAGGTACCATCATCTCTTTCACAGATGAGAAGAATTAAGGTATAGAAGTTTAGTAAATTGCCCAGCATCCTAAAGACTGTAAATGAGAGAGCCAGGATTTGTACTCAGAAAACCAAGCAAGAGAACCCTCACTCTTAAACACTGCATACCCCATCCCATGGCTTATTAGGTCACTCGTGATCTTGCCCCACTCGCCACTCCATCCTCATCTTTTATTGGATCCTAAAAATACTTACAGTTGCTAGAATGTGCGTGATTTTTGTGCTGTGCCTCAACACCAGCTGTTACTGCTGCCTAGAAAGCTCTCTTTTTCTCTGTCCATCTGGTGACGTCCCTACTGATCTTCAAAGATTATGCTCACACATTCTCCATATCCTTACTGTCTCCCCTTCCACCCTCCCTCTCCCACAGCCAGGACTCCTCTGTGCTACCACAACATACCTGACTCATTGGGGGTGCTCAGCCATGATTGCTGAATGGATATATAATATGAATTAAGAAAAATATTCAGTTGTCCTATAAGAGAGTGTACTGTATTTTTGGAAGAAGCCTGAACCAAGTCTGATAAATTAAGTGGGGGATCAGGCTGAGTAATATTCTTTTGGGTCCAAAAAGAGGTGTGATAATAAAGATGTTGATTCTTTGGCCCATAAAACGATTCTGAAGATAATTCCAAAAGAGTCTGAAAATGTTTTGCTCAATTAAAGTAGGGCTAGAAAAACTGGACTGCTTCCCATGGGACCAGATTTATTTGGTCATATAAGTTCTTGTATGGAGTGTTTTCATTTTCTCTTTGTCTCATTATTTTCAAGTCACATGGGATAAGGCAATTATCCTTTTACTAAACATATTCCATTTCCTAAAGAGCAAGTCTCTGAAAAGTTATTGTCGTTTTTCCCCTCATGCTTTCTTTCCTCAGTAACTGTCTTGACATGTTCAAGAAATATTTTATTATCAGAAGGGTGATTTTGCTTATTTCCAAAGAGGGAAGCAATTTGCTACACTTTAATTTAAACCTACCCTTAAATCCAAGGAATGTTTGGCTCATGAAAGGGAAAACAAGGTCCAGAATCTATTAACTTGTGATCCACAGCCTTCAAAGCAATTTACATTCAGTATACATTTGAGTTCATTTAGCTGTCAGAGTAAAGTCTAAATCCTCTGGGTATCTTGCTAGTAAAAAAGTATACTCAGACCAAAACTAGGTCACAAAATGTGTTACAATGACAATGTGTTTCACTCTTCCAACATTTTGAGAAATTTCCAAGGAATCACAAAAAAGAAAACTTCCTGAAAGAAGTAACTTCATACCTTAAATCACATCCTAGATAAGCCCTGTCCCAGTATGGATTAAGGGCATCATTAAAACAATAGAAGAGAACTAACTGTGCCACAGCACACATTCAGTCGTGCTATTTCTTCCAAGTCTAAATCTTCCAAGTCTAAATCAATAAGCCTATCTGTGTTTAAATGTCCTTCAAAGATTTTAATATCCAGATAGTTTAATTTAACCAGTTTTTCTTGTGTCAGAATTTTATAGATTTTTACATTATGCATTTTGAATTAGTTTATACAAAGGTTTGATCTAAGCATTAGCCTATTAAGTACATCTCTGTTAATGTCATTTACTAGTGTTTCTTAGCTGTTACTAGGAGGTCATTCTACTAAAGCCACCTTCTTGTCCTACATTTAAGTGTTATTTGAGCATAAGGTCACTCTCTGAAGAATATCCACTGAAACTAAGATGGAAAGTTGTAAACACAGAGCAATGCTACCTAAATGGAGGACAAAGGTAACACCACCAGCAGCTGAAATTAACTTGGAGAAAAAAAAAAAAAAACTCATCCAAAAAAAAAATTTCACTTAGCATGCATGTATCAGTTTTTTTTTCTGTAATGAGCAACAGATTTTTTGAAAAATATAACCCTAGGAATAAATATATATTTATACAATTTTTTAAAAGTTATAGACATATGGATATTTAATCACTACCTTCTTGGTTTGCATTTCTTTGTTTCAAGTAAAAGAAAAAGCAAAATTGACAAATTAGCAGATAACAAGTAGCTCTATGAGATCATAGTTTTTACTGACTTGTTTCAAGATACAAAAATGATAACAAACCAGATAGTTTAGACAGACTCTTAGTCTTTTAAATCATTCTCATAGAATAATTTGAGAGAAAATAATATTTTATAAGTTGCTACGTGCATAAATATTGTTTATTTATCCTAAACATTGTTTCTTCAGTCTTGGATATTCCACATCTCTTTTCTACATTGTAAAGATATACAGTCTATTTCCCTTTTACAATTGAAAGGGAAAACTGAGTTGGTAAGAGTAGGATATTTTCCCCTTAACTGTAAACACATTATTTTTTATTCAAAAGAAAATGATCTCTGTATCAAAATTCAAAAAAAACCCTCAAAGTCTATAATTTATATTTTAGTAACTGTTTAATCATAGAGGTAAATAAACAGGGCACTTTAAAATATTCCACTTATACCAGTTAAACTTTTTTTTAAATACCACTATCAAGTCATGTGCCAAAAATTTATCTCCAGGAGGTTAGCTTTTAGTCAGAGAAGTTATATCAATGAACAGACAGAAAAGTATCCATAAGCAGGACATGAGACAGGTAACATGGTATCCCCTGAACTGAACTGATGGACAAACTCTAAGATGGAAATAGGGAAAACCAAAATGTGGGGATGAGGATGATCTACCAATAGAAAAGGCCCAAGAGACTATGACCACCCCACATCGAACAGACTAGGCTGTGATGACAACTAAACGGTACTTTTACAAAAAGTATGTATGTTATCTATAGAAAAGCAAACTCTGGAAAGACACAACTGGCAGCATGGCTCAACCCTGTCATAGGTGAGAGTTTGTGAATGAAACTTCCTCTCCTACAGCCAAAATGGATGCAACTGGCACCAGAGCTTGAGGCTATCAGACATTAATCTCATCAGCTAACTCCCCTCTCCAGGTTCCATGTCCACAATGCAAGTATCCTACTATAACCTGGCTTTCCCACAGACAAGCATGCAAGGGAGACAATGATTTGGCTGGCAGATGCAAGCATACTTGACATGTACAGTTTTTACTGGAAAAGAATGCATTAACATTTTTGTTCAAACCTCAGTTTTCTTGTGAGGTCGGGATGAGTCTGTCAACCTTGGACTCCCAAACCCTCTATATATACTAATGAAATTGGGCTTCTAGGCATTTAGTGCCAGGTGGATACTGGAACATGGCAACCACATCACAGAATTGGCTCCCTATGTTTGGGCAGCCAGCCATTGTTCTGACTGCCTCTTAAAAAGGCCCTGGCCCTCAGACATACCTTTTCTTCACACTGTAGCATAATGTTTCTGCATTTTGACTTTAACTCCTACAACTTTTAACCTATAAGAATAAAGATCAGGACTACCCTGGTTTGTTAGAAGAACTTCTAAAGAAATCAACTCTTTGGGCAGCACAGATGAGCACTTTTGAAAAGGCTAATTGTTAGTTTGGTTTATACTGAATTGTTTTGGTTATGAATTGCCTCATGGGATGGGAAATCCCCTGCAGGGCCTTGTCAAACACCTCCTCACTCTCCACGGAAAATCAGCCAGACAACAACGGGATCTTGGACACCTTCGATGTGTTAACACTGGAGGTGCTCCAGTGAGCAAAACTGTCCCCTCTGGAAGTTACTGGAATCACTATCCTGGGAGCCACTATAACAGATGACTCTACTTTTCTCAAGTGTGCTAGGGTGGAAATTAAATTGAAAATGACTCGTCCTGAATGATGACTTGACTTTTCAAGTGAATTTTGTCAACACTGTTAGAGAATTTTGTTCCTGGCTTTAGCCATACAAAGCCCAAATTTGTCCAATTCATCTGATGTAAGACTAAACAAAGGCATTAATGAATAAAAAGCAGAAAAAAAACAGTGCCAAAATCTTTGTATATTTTAGTGCATAATACATTTATCTTCTTCTAGGCAAATGGCATGCAACTTGTTTCTAATTCAAAGAAAGATAATGGAAAAAAACTGTTTACAGTAGAATAATGTTTAATAATTCATAGCTTGATGATCTAATGAAATTACTTTAAAATGCCAAATGTCAAAATGCTTTATCAAATCTCTTCTTTTGCATTTCAACTCTAAGTTAACATTTTGATGAAAAAGGAATTCAACAAATATTAACTGTGTTTTAGGAAGGATTTGCCCAACTTTTGCTAAGCCCAGTTAGCACACTAATTTTTATAGATCTGCTATATAAGAGAGTTCTTACTTTTTATAAAATGTCACCCTAACAATTTTTTAATGTCTACATATCAGTGAATAAATCCACTCTTATTGATGAATGAGGGAGAGTCTCTCTGTTGCTAAGGGAACCCAAGTGTGCTGACCACTTTAAAGTCTTCCACAGGCTTGGGTCCCTCTTAGGACAGCCAATCCCTCTGCTTCCTCCTCTTCAACATCTAGCTCTTCCTTCTCCTGCCCTCTCTTCCTAACTCCAGACACTTCCTCAGCCTTTACTTAGGGCTCCCAATTCCTCCCTGCTTCACACAAATGTCCTTTTCTTGTAATAGAAGATCAAAGCTATTGTCTTCTTCTATATGGATCTTCTGTCCCTCATGATTCACAGGAAAGTGTCCTCCTCTTCAAGACGAACCCTATTCCTCCTGAACTGTGCCTCTCCACAATATGCTAAATCTGCAATTCATCAGCTTTTATTCCCTTTCATTCAATTCCCCTTTAAGTGTTCCCCTCCTGGCTCCTTCTAATACACTTCCCTATTTCCTCATAACAACAAAAATGTTTAACTGTGCCTATCTCTATCAGATTGTCATTCTGCCAGCCACATTCCATGTCCCCCAATTTACTGAATGACAGTCTACACTTTGTGCTACAGTTTCTACACTTTGTGCTACACTTTCTCACTCCTTAGTTATCTATTACCAGGTTTCCCCTCTTTCTCTTCCAGCGAGATCTGTCTCTCAAATGGATAGCAGTAATTCCCCACTACTGGATGCAGTCTTTAGGCTCTTCCACCTCTTGGACGCACCTCAGATACCAGAATGAGATGCCTACTCCTCCCCGAAACTCTCCCCTCCCATGGCTTCCCTGAGAGTTTTCTTTTACTTCTCCCTCTACTTCTCTTGTGTCTGCTTTTCTCTCTGCCCCCTTTTTTCTCCTTCAATCCTAAATGCAGAGTCTCAAGTTTCCATAGTCTTTTTTTTTTTCACTTAAAATACAGGATTTCTTGCTCATTCATCTATTTAATATACAGGGTCCTATTTGCCAGTGACCCTGAAGATCTACTACAGACAGCAACTGTGTCAGAGGCAATTTTGAACCGCCTGTGCTGTGAAGGTTGGCATGGGTGAACAAGTCACTTAGCTGGTGACAGCCTAGTCATGTGCTCAGTAACCACACTGGGGCATTCGTGATTTTCTCCTTATTGTGGGACAAATTATATGCAAAAGTGATATTCCAAATGTGGGGCTCAAAAAAGATTTCTATACATCTCCTTTAAGAATGCCACAGGTTTTCCGGATTCCTATCTGGATGGAGCTCTCAATTTCCTGAACTTTGACTATAACTCTGCCTTGGCTATTTCCTGAAAACACATGTAACTCAACATGTTCAAAACTGAGTTCATCATTGTCCCTCCAAACCTGCTCCTTCTGCTGTGAATGCTATTTCTAACAGTGACATCACCATCACTATCCTCTCACTCAAGCATAAAACCATAATTCATCTTGTTGACCCTACAGCTCTGTTCACCTACACATCTAACTAGCTACCCACATTGGCCAATTCTAGGACTTAACTATCTCTCATATGCAAACCTTCCTCTCATTTCAAGGGCACTACCCTAATTTAGGCCACCATTATTTTTTCTCTCTCCAGGGAATGGTCAATCTCCTAACCAGTTCACCTGTCTCTAGATTCCATTTCAGGCCGCTTTACCCTCTGCTATGATTCTGACCCTATCGATTGGGCATTATCTCCATTCCTCCTCTTCTCCTCACACTGTGGTTAACTCAGCACCTCAGGTTCGTCTGCCATACGTGATGTCATTCATCTCCATGTATACGATGTGTCTGTTTCTTTTCACATCGTTCTTCTCTTGTTTGGAGCCTCATTTTCTTGCTCCTGCAAATTAAACTTAATTTTGTCTTCTGAACTGGCCTAGAATTGTGTCTGTATCTCTGAATGGTCACGATAGCTTTATTCTTTGTATTACAGTAATTGGCACAGGTACACACACACTTTCTCTCTCCCCACTAGGTTATAAACTCACTTAAAGCAGAGATTAAGGAATACACAATCTGACCCACTGTGTAGTCCCTATAGTAGGTGCCTTGCATTCAGGGGGGGCTCAATTAACCTCTGTTAAACCAAAAGTCATCTAAGGCACTATTTATGAACATGTTCTATGCCATGTACTGCTATTCCCTGTAGCAACATTAATTCTGGGAATAAGATCTAATATGTAGCTGGATATCCTTTGCATCTCTGGGCCCATCCCAAAAACATCTTCGATTCAGGCAATCTCATTATCCAAGTTCTAGAATGGACTCTGAGGAAACCTAAGAACAGAGACACCATAGAAGCAAGCCTCATTTCTTGGGATGTATCCTCAGCCTGGTGAGTATCAAGGCTCTACTTAATTTTCCATCCAGAAAATAACACTTTATCATTTTGTCCAATATCCAGTAACTTCCGAAATGATGGATTAAAAATCATTATAAAGCTTCCAAATCTGTTTTACCTTTACAAGCAAGAAACTTCTCAGATGTGGAACCATCTAAGAAATTCTAACATGAATTGTGTGAGAAAAGTCAGTATTATTAAAATATTTTATTTATATTTAAATATAAACAAAAGAAAATAGATAAAAATTTCAAAATTAGCTAATAACGACACTTTTGAATCAATTGTAAATTTTATTTCACTCTTTTTATTTTGATTGGGAGCAGAGAACAACTTTTATTTATAACAGGAATTCCTTTCTTTAAACACTGGAATTAAGCTTTTAGAGAATGGAATATTTCTGAAATTTCTAAGAAATGAACTGGAAAAATTGCCTTCAAAGTTTCTTTCTTAAATAACTGTACATACATGCGTGCTCTCTCTCTCTCTCTATCTGAAATTACAGGGACATAGAATTTTAAAGCTAGAGGTCATCAAGCCTTAGCCCTTCTTTTTGAAAATGAGGAAACAGGCAGGGAATGGTTAAGGTGTCCTGCCCAGGATCTCTCTGAACTGCTCCCTCCACCATACCACTCTTGGCCACATAAGCACCTCCCAAAATTAATTTCAAGAGAGAAAGAATATTCTCTTTCCCTCCTTCCTTCCTTCTTCCCTCCCTTCTCTCTTTCTCTCTTTCTTTCTTTTGGAGTGCAGTGGTGTGATATCGGTTCACTGTCACCCCCACCTCCCAGGCTCAAACAATCCTCCCACCTCAGCCTCCTGAGTAGCTGGGCCCACAGGCGTGCGCCATCATGCCTGGCTAATTTTTGTACATTTGGTAGAGATGGGGTTTTGCCATGTTGCCCAGACTGGTCTCAAGCTCCTGACCACAAGTGATCCACCCGCCTTAGCTTTCCAAAAGTGCTGAGATTACAGGTGTGAGCTGCTGCGCCACCCCGCCTCTCTTTTCGTCTCCTCTTCTCTCCTCCCCTCCCCCCCGTTCTCTCCCCTTCCCTTCTCCTTTCCTTCCCCTCCCTCCCTCCCTTCCCTCCTTCCTTTCCTCACTTTCTTATTTGTATATATTCATGGGGAACAAGCGCAATTTTGCTACACTGATATACTGCATTGTGGTGAAGTCAGGGTCTTCAGTGCATCCATCACTGGTGCAACTTACATTGCACCCATCAAACAACCTCTGATCATCCACCCCTCCATCCAGAACTCTGCCAGTCTCCACCTCTGAGTCTCCATTGTCCAACATTCTACACTCTGCTTCCATGTGTACACATTATTTAGGGAAATAATATTATTCTTACACCTTAAAAACTATCAAGTATTCTTCAAGGAAGCTTCTAAAATATTTGAAAAAATGGAAGGAGGTAGATTTCATTCAATATTCTAATATAACTATCAATCCTTGCAAAGGAATTCCAGTTTATTAAAAATTTGACCTGAAATTCCAATACATCCTTCTGGGTTAGCAAATGCCTCTAATTTTCTAAAATTATGGGCTATGTGCATTCAGTATTAAGAGAATTCTGTCTACTTAACAATCATTCTCTCCTCTCAAAGTCCAGGCCAAAGACATAAAGTGCTCGTTTACGGTACAAGCAGCTATCACATGTCTTTTAAACTATCCGACTGTTCTGCTTTATGTACACAGCTGCAGTTCCCACCGTTTAGGAGTTTACAATATATGATCATTTCCTCTATATAAAAATGCACTACTTTTTGCATGCTTTCATTCCTTTAGGTGGTAAAGTATGTTAATGATGGTGCCCACTCAATGCTGTAAATTAGGGTTTCTCAACCATGGAGCTATTGATATCTGAGGCTGGATAACACTGTTATGGGGATACTGTCTTGTGCACTGTAGAATGTTTAGCAGCTTCCCTCACCTCTACTCACTAAATACTAATCATATCCCTCCATTTGTGACAACCAAAAATATCTGGAAATGTTGCCAAATGTCCCCTAGGAGCAAAACTGCCTTCAGTTGAGAACTACTACTATAGAGGGCCAATTCGTCATTCTGCGTTCTTACAGTTTTTCAAATATGCCCTTCCCATGTACACCCAATATTAAGATGACTGGCAGTAATTAATCTTTTCAAGTACTTCTTGTATAATAACTAATATTATACTGTATTTGTACATATCATTTCAATGACATTTTTAAAGAAATAGGCTATCTTGCACAATCAACCACATAATAAGCACTTATTAAGTACTTGCAATATGGTTAGCAGTATGTGAACCTTCAATAAGTCACAGGTTTTGCTTACAAGGAGCTTTCCCTATAGATGAGGAAAGAAGACATGCACATGTGAATAACTAAGGACACTGTAGGACAAGATATAACACAACACTAAACCAGGTGATATAAACTTCACAAGGGAGGAGTGAACGTTAGTACTAAAGTTTTCAGAAATGCTCCCATGGAGCTGATGACAGCCAGGTGCAACCTTTGAAGATGAGTGAATATCACATAGGTAACAAGGAGAAGAGCAAGTAAGCCATGGAGGGCAGCCACATGAACCAGGCTGGTTGGAGAGAGCAAGCAGGCTCCGTTTGAGAGCCATGAGGGCAGAGTCCCCATTTAGAGGACAGTGTGGGACATGAACATGTAAGACGGATACAGATCACGAAGAGCTTTGGACCACAAATCAAAAAGTCTGGGTTTGAGATGGTAGACATTCAAGACCATTTTGGGGCACATGTGTGATGTGGGAAGAAGGCATCATATGAACTGGAACATAACCCAAACGAGAGAGAGAAAAAAGTTACTCATACAGGTTTATATTGATTGACTCCCGGGACAGTATGAAAAGGGGGAAAAAATGGGCACCAGGAAATGTTTTAAAGGGAAAATCTATTAGACTTGGTTAATATCAAACTATGACAAGTAGGATAAATTAATCTTCAAGGTTCAAGTCTGGATGAGTAGAAAAAGAAGTAAAGCCTCAACCTATATAAGCCATCTACCGTATTCATAGATCTCAATATTACCTACCTTAATTAATCTTAAGAGTCACTTCTCCACTGGTTTGTTTCATTTGATCACCTCATATAGATTAGTGACATTTTATAAATGGAGGCATGAAAAGAAAAATATAAAACATAATATACCAACCATATACATTAGGACAATTGAGAACAGAGATGAGGCAATGCATTCATAATTTAGAGGGAGCTCTGATTTGAGGTCTTGGTTGCCTGGAATTACCTAGACCCTTTCACTTGAGGGTATGCATCCCCTCTTATAAGAACCAGTCACTGAGCTAACCCATTCCTTAGGCCTCATTCTAGTTAGCTTCCTTTTTTAAACCCCTGATTCCCTAGCAGGGTCCAAATACAACTAATTCACAAATTTAGCCAACCAAAACAAATCAACAACAATTTCAACAACCTTCACCGTGGATTCTAGTTCTGAGCCACACTCTTAAGGAAATCTCACATTTTCCAGTTGTCTTTAACTCCGTCCATTTCAGCCATCTCACCTCGCTCCCAATCAAACAATTGTGGGAAAAGACTATCCTTACTCTTGGTTTTCCTCTTCTTGCCTATTGATGGTAATGAAAAATACTAATATTAGGAGTGCTAATTATATGAATGTGAGCTTGTTAATGCTAGATGGTTGGACTTATGTGTTTTTTCCAATTTATGCTGCAGACCTTTATAATTTTTTGCCTTCTACAAATTGTTGTTAACTAGTGTCTTTTTGAAATGCAGAGCTCTGAATCTCAGGACTATCAGCATTTTGAAATTTGTTTGTTGTGGGGAGCCATCCTGTGCATTGCAGGATACTTAACATCAATAACCTCTACCTATTAGATGTTAGTGGCAGTAGTCGCAGCACTAGTAACATCTATAAACTCTACCGCCCCAGTTGTGATAAACAAAATGTGTTCAAAGACTGTCAAATCCCCTGGGGAACAAATTCACCCCTGGTTCAAGACCACTGCTGTAATGTGATCTTGGGGGACAAATACTGGTCATGTACTGTTTGTATAATTCTAGGTTCAAAGACTGAACGAATGAGTAGAAAAATTAGATAACCTATTAACTCTGAAAGCCTATAATTTCTTAACCTCTAAATAAACATATTGCCTTCTCTCTTGATTCAAAGAGCTTGAAATCTCGATGAAGGAAAATTGGCCACATAGCCTATGCCCTTAAAGTAGGCATACTAAGAGGGGCATGGCTAGACTTGGGATGAGTTGGAGACTGAATCATGTAATCTGCCCACTCCACACCCTTCACCACCATCACGTTGCCACTTCCCTTGGCTCAAGTCACTCAGGATCAAAGAGATGCTGCTTTGGGGGTTAGTTGGTAAAAGCATCAGCTTGTGAGGTAATTATATGTAAGGTATCTCCTAGCCATCATAAAGTCATACAGCATTTCTTCTCAATGGTTTAAAATAAAAATCCATTTTCCGTCATGCTGTTCCAACTTTTCACTCTGAAAGCATGATTTTCCCACCAAAATGAGTGAGCTCAAGATGTCACTATGGTCAAGACTGATAATGTTCATCCATGAAACCTACTCTTCATAAACTCCCTCAGTGTAATCATGATGTGCTATAGTTGAAATTGGAAAGGATGTTATGACCAAAAAAAAACTACCATGAAGTCTTGGCATGCAGTTTTATACCGGTCTAGTAACACCTACATGGCTTCAAAAGGCTTAGTAAAACTTCGAAACGATTTAAGAACTATCCTAAAGCACTCCACAGAGGCTCCTGGTATCCAGAACCCCTGTTCCAGGAGACCAGAAGTGTAATGATTCTCATGAACCTTGTTCCCCCCGTACAATAAAATCCCTCTTTCTTGAGCTAGTTTCAGTGGGTCTCTATTATTTCCAATCTGAACCCTAAGGTTACTGGCTATGGCATAAACTACCTACCGGTTCTCTTCTGATTTTAAAATGTTATTTAAAAATGTATCTTCTTGTAGGGGAAGGGGAGTGAAGAGTCATTGTTTAGTGAGTACAAAATTTCAGTTTGGGATGATGAAAAAGTTCTGGAGATAGCAGTGATGGTTGCACAACAATGTGAATGTACTTAATGTCACCGCATTATACATTTAAAAATGATTAAAACTGTAAATTGTATGTTATGTTTATTGACCACATATGTTATGTATATTACCTTTATTTACCACAATAAAATAAGTTTTTAAAAAATCTATCTTCTTGAAAAAAGCATGATTGAAATACACTGTCTACAGAAGCTTCTAATCCTCAACGTGAGATAAACCTAGATAGTTGGGGCTTTTCTTCCTATACTTATGAATATAAATAGAAGTATGTTCCCAACTCTCCCAAAATTCAGTAAAGTGTTCTGAGCCTGTATCCAGGACTATCAAAGACGCCCGTTAAAACATGTACAATTGTAGATTCTGAAGTGATCTTTTGTTTTGTCAGTGATTCCCCCCACCATCCCTTTACTTTTATCACTACTTATCACTTTATTAGCATCTTTATAAAACGATGTAATAAAGTGCAAAATGGATATGCACGTGTCCACATGCAAAGAGGCAGACCCTGGTGGGAAGGAGTGGAGGATGTCAGGGAGGAATGAAGAACCTAATTTTGTAAATTGATTACCACTTACCTATACATTTAAAGCAGTCAGTTCATGTTATAACATGACAAAAATGTCTGTGTAACCAGATGACGGGCACAGGATATCGTGTATATTAATGCCAACAATAAAAACCAATAGAAATTTTGCAACATGCGGAACAGACCGACTTCTCTTGTTAGCATGCCAAGTATAACAACTCCTTTGTTCACTCTGACATTCAGAGCACTAGACAGAAAGGCTGTGAGCCTTTACCTGCGCTTCACTGCATTTCTTCATTTTGATAACAACTGTTTTATCCATATTTTTCTACCGTAAGACCATAAGCTAGATGAATGCAAGAAAAATTTACTTTGTGTTTCCCACAAGAGACATAATACGAAGAGGACAAACAAATACACATTTATTTAGGTTTTGGGCAAGAGGTCAACAATTTAAGATAAGCCATACTGAAGTTGTAGCTTATACCAATTTTGGAGCTGAACTAGTTTTAATTCTGTATCACTCCCTTGAACTTTTTGGTTTGTTCACCACCTGTCCTCTGTTCCCCTTAACCTCATTTATTCTTTCTACCTAATCTTGAGAGCCTCTAGATCCAGAAGTTTTTGCCATATGAATTTTTACCCTTCCATGATATTTTTAAAACTTTAAGAAATCATTTGTTTTCTTAATTTGATCTCTTCTAATTTGGTCATCTTTTACTCTATCTACTTTCTGAAAGTAGATCTATATCTATATGGAGACATGTATATCTATATCTAGAGATATCTATATCTAGATAGAGAGATGTATATATCTCCAGATTTCTGTATCTATATCTAGATATCTAGATTATATATCTGTATCTAGAGATATCTATCTAGATATAGATAGATATACATCTCTTTATCTAGACATAGATACACATCTCCTTATAAATATATCTACATAATTATATGTAAGTTTATATCTATCTAAAAATAAAATGTATTTAACTCTGCATCTCTCTATATAGATATATATCAATATATATAATAGGTATAGATATAAATACATATTATTTTTCTTCTGGTTTCTCATTATTTTATTCTCCACCTAAACTTCCTGCTTGCCCTTCACTAGTACTATCTCAACCTTTCCCTCCATAAATAAATTTAAAAAGTGAAATTTTATACCTAACCAAGCATAATTCAGCAATTGACTTCGTGTTTCCATTGGACATGACACAAGGCCTTCTCTTATCTATCATGATGAACAGTCAAACGGTATAACCAAGCGAAAATTTTATTAACTATAATTCTCTAGTAGCAAGCATAGGCATCATTCATCATAACTACCATTTTATTAGGGTACAATAAAGGATATATCTTGAAGTATCTTCTCAATGCTCAACAAAGATTAAATTATGAGTTTTAGTGTTAAGTGTATTTTATCACATTCTAATCCTTTGAAAAGGGGACTCAGAAGAGATGGCAACTTTCTAATAACTAAGCTTTCTTATTAACTGGACTGCTCTATTCCTCAATTACGCAAGTTAACAGATGACTCCCCTGTAAATTAAAAAGAAAATAAAAAAAACTAGACACCTCATATGGTATTTTTCTTCTTTATGTTTAGTGATAGTTAAGTAGAACTCCTGCTATTGCTCAATACACAGAACACTCATTAAATCAGCAGATGAGTAAAATGCAAAGTGAACCAAAATGCCAGTTACTGTGTTGCTGCGGGGCAGCATCAGAAGCCTGCAGTCTGAAGCATATGCTCCCAATTCTCAGATTTCTATAGCAGCATCTGAGAGAACACACAAGAAAAGAGGGAGGTTTCTTTGCTTTTGCCTATATTGGCCAGTATTCTCACATTTAGAATGCTTGATACCATAAGGTATAGTCGGCCAAATAGTTTGGTAGAAATGTTACAGACAGATCTGAAACAAATGATTCACTTAAAGTGCCTTCTATAAAGTAAATGCTGCTTAAATAATTCACTATTAATTGGACAGGTATTCTGCCTAGTAAAAACTGTGTTTGTATATTCTGTTTATCTATCTTCTTGCATTATTTGCTATTTATTTAAATCATCAATGGAGTTAAATCCAATGTGCAATTTTCCAATGTCCTGAGCCCTTCTGAAAATTGTATGCTTTGGAATGAAATTCTTCATGTGATTTCTCAAGTATTTTGAGGTAGGGTGGTTAGATGAACAACCAGAACATAACCCATTTTCAGCTGGGAGGATAGTCAAATAAACAAAAATATGTTTCTGAATGAAAGATATTCAAAGGAATACATATTACTGCATATTTTCAGTATGATTATGTAACAAGACTCCATTTCAAAGCTAACTTTTTGTTTGGATTACATGTGCAAAAAGGTCAGGGCTATGTTTTCTGTAGGAATTTTTACTTTTGCTTATTTGGAAGCAGTTAAAGGGCCAGAAATCCTGGCTATTTAGAGGCCTCTGTAAAGATGAAAACACATAAACACATTTAACAATAAATATTTGTATTTTAAATATAGGCATATTTTTGCTATACTATAGCTATTTCCTTCACTGCAAACCACTGGTTTAAGATTTCCTTTAATAATGAAGATATATTTCTAAAGAAATATATCTAGATAATCTATAAAATGGTTTTTAAATTGTTTCATAAATTGTAAAACAAATTGGCTGTCAACATGGAGAAACTCTCAATAGCCCAGGAAAACTCAGGCTTAAAAAGTTTCAAGGTTTCCTGGAACTTTCAATGTTTTCTGAAAATTTTCATCTCCAAATGTGCTCAATGTTAATAATTTTAGAGTCTAAAAATTGTGGCTGATCCTAAATATAAAACTAATTGACAACGACAATCTGGTTTCACTCATGGTAGACCTATTCTGGACCATTCAGAAAGTGATGAGGGACCCAAGGGGCAGATCCACAATTACCTTCCCTTACTTGGCCTTACTGGTCACTAAGCCTTTCCTAAAACCAAAGCTGCAAACAGTGCAACTGAAGTTTGAACTCCATTTCCTTCCACTCCTGCCCTACTTATTAGGTTGCACAGAAACAATAAAAGACCAAATGAGTTATAGCAGGACTGCTCTTACTTGAGAGGTAAGGGTATATTTATTTATAGTCCAGGGTCAAAGCTACTTCCTTAGATTGTGACCATCTTAAGAACAAAAAGTATCTAATCCAGTGTGAAATATAATGGTTCATACCTAGTACCATTAACTAATTAAAAACAGAAAGGAAAGACTGCAAATTTTTGATGATGAAGAAACCAAAGGTTCCCTGAAAC